>NC_000004.12:133163805-133466835 GCF_000001405.40 Homo sapiens
AGATGAGACAGATTGTAGATATGTCATTTCTTTTATGACTGATGAAATTGAAAAGTAAAAGAGTTTTTAAAAACTTAAAGGAAAAAAACAGAGGAATATTTATTTTAGCCTTTATGAAGTATAACGTGAAAAGCAAAGATTGAATGCATTGAGGTTGTGGCTATTAACCTGGACATAGATAAAGCAAATAGACAAGTGTTATATGCTTAAAGGAATGGTCTTTTATTAGATGCATACATTGTAGTGACAACAATAGGTGGTGTTTTATGAAGGATTGTTTTCAGCTTTTCAAATTACTCAGAACCACAAATACCCCAGCATGATGTACCACTTTAGCACTTCAGAACCAAAAAATCATTTGTTTTGCTTTATTTTTTTAAAGTTATACAAAGAGAGAACAAATACTTAAAGACAGGAAATATTGAGATGTCTAAAATGCAATTTGGATGCTAATGTCTTAAGTTTAACTCACAAATCCACACATGCTAGTGAATTAAAATAGCCTAAAATCAAACTTTAATAAGTGAGGAACATGATGCGATCTTTGCCTCTGAAATTGAATTCTGGATTCAAAATTTTATTTATTATTAAAAGTAAAACTTTTCCAAATTTTAAACAGCATATTTAACTACTGTTTCACTTAAACTAAGAATGTACATTATAGAAATACATTATTAATCATTTCAAGGCAAAAAGTGAAGGGTATATGATTCAGATTAATAAAAATTTGCATTTCTAAATAAATACAAATATTTGCTTTTACCATATAATAACAGGTAAATCTACTTCAAATATAGTGGGAAAATCAACTTGCCCTCTTTTGCTCTTAGTGAGTACTAATCTTGGTGAAATTACACTTACACATAGACCTGGAATTTTTAACATTTACAGATGTCTTTTCTTTACTGACTGGATTTTTTTATTAATAAGACTAATGGAAACAATTTTTATTATTAAAATATTAATGCTGCATATATTTTAATGCAAATTTTTCTATTTCTTAAGAATCTGGTCTTTCATTTAGAAATCTGATTCAGGGATTATGAAATTTATTAACAGTTATGTGTGTTGCTAAAAATCAAAAGAATGCATCTATTATTTCACCAGGAAAATTTTAATTATTTGCTCATTTTATATATATATTCATATATATACACATATATTCATTATATACATATATTCATATATATACACATATATTCATATATATGTGTATATATATGCACTAACACATTCCAACATATATTCATATATATACACATATATATATACATACATATATTCATATATATATGAATATACATATGTTGGAATGAGTTAGTTTTTAATTGTAGTTTTTTTCCCTAATCTGTTTTAGCCAGTTCACACGGCTCAAAATTTAGGGTTTGGGTTGACGTGTGACCTGTGGTGGAAAATTTGCAGAAGAATAGCTATTTTGTTGTTTTCACTTCTGCTCTTCTTAGTTCTTCATACGACTTTAATCATGTCTAGACTGGTTTTTTTTTTTAATTTAACTTTTAGTATTTAATGTCATCTTAGAGTCATCCAATTATATTTAAAATTACACCATGACTCTGACTTAATAATCATAAAAAATTTATAGTTAGTCTGATAATACAAACTCTAAAACAAAACTATTCCTGACCATTTTGCCCCTCAAATTCATATGGTGATAGTTTTTGATACTTGTGTCCTTTTTCATTCAGAATAGAAATAGTGTCATCTTCTAAGTCTAAAGTAAGTCCCTTGCATAATTAAAAAAGCTAAAAATTGACACTACTTGCTTTTAATCAGAATGTTTGAATAATTATTAAAGTTGTAGAGTTTTTTTGCTAAATATGCAGTTTCATAATGAATATAATGTACATTTTGATGTTAGGAAAAATAGCAGTATATTTAGTTATGTTTTTGTAAAGCTCTAAAAAGCCTAATGAGACTGTCACTGTCATTTATACAATAATGACAAGGAAATGACGATATGCTTAAAAATACAAAAGAGATCAATGTCAGTACAAATAACTTTTGATTTCTATACCTCCGATTGCTAAAGTTAAAACTAAAAACTGCAAGAAAACAACTTTTACACAAAAATAGATGGATGCAAACATTAAATAATGTACTTCATGTTCTTAAAAATATGCTTACACTTACATTTCTTTTTATTTTAATGTATTAACAAAAGACCCATGAAGAGTATACATGATGTATTTAATAAAAGGAGACTTTTTAAAAATCAGGAATAATTTTGAACACATCATTCAATACTTGCTGAGTTATTCATGAGCACTTTCTGAGCTTGCTTTCTCTTATTTTTCCTATAATGTTGTAGTTTGCTAAGTTGATATGGAGCAAAGGGATACACTCAAAGATTGAGTAAATAAATTTAAACAGGTAGAACATGGCCATATATTCAGAAATGCCGTATTTAGATTTACCTTAAATGTTAATGAATTTCAGTTTTACTTTACCTTTAATTTTCATTAGCATAATTAAAAACACAAAAATACCATTTCATTTTTAATTAAAATTAATAATTGCCTACAGCACTTTAAATAATCATGTTAAAATGAAAGAAAATATTTTCTGGAGTTTTAAAATAACATTGCATTTTTATCATGAACATTTTAAGGATTTGTTTAGAATCAGACATCTTATTTTAAATGATTCAGTCTTTCAAATGGCACAGTAAGTTATGTGTAAAACCATCTGGATAATCTCCATAAATAAAAATATAAAATGAATATAAAGTCAAGAATGTAATTGACAAAAGTTATATTATTAGTATAATTTCAGAAAACCCTACTAGTTAAAACACTTTAATATTTTTGTAGTCATTCCTGCTTATGATTTTGGCTTTATACTTTGAACACCATCTCTTAAGATTTTTGTCAGTAAATGAACATGAAATTCAGTTCCTATCAGCTTAAACTATACAGTAATAAAGGCGTAAGTATGTGTTATTTGGATACTTGTTGATTTCTTGCCAATAAACATAATCAATTCCTAAAAATTGAAGACAATCATAAGAAACTCAATACAATTACATCAAAATATACTTGTGAAAATATTTCTTTGTCATACAATGATAAATTGAACTGAATAAAGTGAAAAAAAGCTGCATGATAATGACTGAATTTCTAAATCAATGGAGCTTTCTAGAGTCTAAAGGGAACCATTTATTTTCATGGCCCATCTTGCCTTCATATTATACAACATTTAGACTAGTCCAAGTATACTAAAAATCATTCTGGTTGTCTCCTGACCTAATTTTATTTTTGCCAACTTGTTAATCTTATTGAAATTTCAACTTGACGCACCCATATGATGATTAAAAAAATAAATTTCTAAAACAGTGCATTTAAAATACTGCTAAAACTTATCTAGACCTTTTATCAATAAACTTTATTTGAGGGAAATTTTTAGACATCTATATTATGTCTATGTGCACTTCAAGTTTTTAGTTGATTGAAATTGTAGAACATGTTTTGTTTAGTAACATTTCTTCCAATCCCTTCATTATCTCAGCCTGCCTTCTGTGAGTTTTCATAATTTGTTGAACTCAGTAGTGCAGTAAGAGCGTACATAGAATTCAAAATAAAATGACTTTTCTTATAGATACACATTACCTTCATACTTATGTACCTCTGTATAGTGTTTTCTCTAGGATTTGTGTTTTCCTCTAATGTCTTAAATATACTCTCACTATCCAATGTCAAAGTCCAAAAATAAATATTTTTATAGAAGGCCTTGCTTTCATATAGGCCCATACACCGCTAAATGAATGGACCTCTCTTGTAGGATTTTTTCTTTTTAACTTGATATGTTAATTTCTGATTAGTTCTCTTCCATGTTGTGCTACTATGTGTACTCTGTTTCTGAGGGTGGGTTTTTTGTTGTTCCTGTTCTTTTACTCTTTTATATACATACAGATTGGTGAACCTAATTTTCTCACTTTTTCAGTTTATTTCTTTGGGACAGTTTTATGGCCTTAGAAATATACTAGTCATTATATTTTTTTCATTAAATTCCTTTATCCAGGAATTATGAATAAATCTGGCATTATCAAAAAGTTTAGTCACTTCAACTCCATGAATAGGAAACAAATGGTAACTTGACATCAGAAAAAAAATTGAACCCTGTTCATTTTCTCTATCTGAATTTTATTATATTTTATGCTACTTATTTTAAAAATATTACTTATTTTATTGTATTTGGTGAATTTTATTTTATTCTACTTCTCTGAAAAAATGGTCATCTATTCATAGTTCGTGTTATTCCTCCAGTTAACTAACTGATGCAGCAGTTGATGGGAACTTCTCTGTAACACTAGATACATGAGATATTATAATATTTTTTCTTTTTCTTTAGTTGTTGTATAGTCGTCTATCTCAGCTAGTAGAATTTAAAGTGAAAGGTATAAAAATCTGAGGTGCAGATATGAAACACAGCAGTTGTTTTATATATAAATATCTGGTCACTTCTGTAAGCAATTTTTTTTTTACTTACTCAGACATCAGTACTTCCCTGTGACTTATTTCAAGTCATTTAAAATTTGTGCCTGTGGGTAATTTGGAACTAGTTTCATCCAATAAATTTCTATTCCCCCAGTTAAAGAACAATTTCATAGTTTCTTTTATCAATATATTTATCTTTATAATTATCTGTAATATTTAAAAGTGCCATTTTAATGACTTCAAATTGAATTGACTTTATTTTGACAATTTGACCTGTGGTTCACCCCAACCTTTATATTCTAAATATTCAAAACTTACACAATTATAAGTACTATGTTTTGCAACTGCTTTCTCACCATTTATTAACTTTGCTAAAATCTGCTCCAGCTCTACTACGATTTTTCTTCCCAATACAATTACTCCCTTGGCATATTTAGACTCATTATCCAGCTATGCATATTATAAATGCTAAATAATTATGTGATGAAAAATGAATTAATGGGCATTTTTAAAGTATGCAAAATTTCATTAATGTTGTCATTATTTATTCATTCATTTATGCACACACTCAGTTGTTGATACCTCCAAGCAAACTTTATTCTTTTCTTCTAATTTTTAAAAAATGTTTTAATTAGTTATACTCTTTTTTAGCTACACCTACAGATTTTTACATAGGGAAGTAGAATTTAAATTAATTCAAGCTATTGAAATGCACCCAACTAGGGCGTTTGTGTAAAATATCATGGAGTGTTTCAGGACTTTGAGATGTTAAATTTCTTTTGATTTGTTCTAAGAACTTATTTCATATCCTAAGGCAGAGTTAAATTGTTTCATATTTCTTAACCCTTTTAGAATTTTAATTACACCCCATTCTTCCCCATCTGCAGTACCATCTTTCTTTTGTCTACTAGCAGCTTAATATGTTAGCTCTCATCTTTCATCTTTTTATAAAGCTAATAGTTTTATATTTTCCTCTAGTTTAGTCACTTTTTTCTTTATTTAATTCCTATGTAGGATTTATTTATTTGCATTTTAAAATTACATTTTTGAGTTCACAGATATATGGTTAAGTAAAATATTGTCATTTAAGGGCATATAGAGAAAACATAATCGATCAAAGTTAATTACACCACTTTTATTCAATACTTTATAGTTCTTTAGTATGACTCTTCAACTGTTTTTCAAAGCAGTTTATCTCACGCATATTTAGGACTTCTTAGAATTAACATTTAGCGTATTAACATTATTTATATACCTCATTTTATATTACATATCGTTTTCATCCTCTTTCTTATTTTGTACATTGATGTAAAACTGTGTAAGCATTTGTCCATCATATGAGCTTAACAAAATAAGACTATCAATTAAAATATAAATAGAATTATTCAATGAAAAGAAATATCTACTTGGGAATTTTTTCCTGCCTCATCATACTGAAGATTTATGAGTCAAAATTTGAATGTGTTAAGTTATAAAGATATTGTAAATAAGTCTGGAATCTACAAATTCATTTGCCTATAAATATCATTAAACATTATTCAGTACTCAATGTGCCAGACATTTTTTGGGTGAGTCTTCGTCATCTTCAATCCTTTTAATAGAAATTAGATCATGTCATTTAGATAATATAGATTAGAAACTGTTTCGAACACTGAGATTCACTGTTCAAGTTTAAATAATATTACTGAATTAAGATTAAACTCAGCATAATGTGAGTCATTTTAATGTTTCCTGGAGTGTAACAAAATATTTTAGGTTTGTATTGAGTTTCAATAAGACTTCCTAGTCACCGTAAAGCTTGACCTACTTCAATTTAGGTGAGGAGAGTGTAGGAAATTCAAAAACCTTGTCTCCCAAAACGTAATTACATACCAAAAGACATAGATAAAAACAAATTATAAGCTAGAAATGTTGCAGATAAAAATTAGGATTTTATTTATGATTCTATAACTCGTACCTTATATAGCATCATGTATATACATTATGTATGGTAATAGCAAGGCACTTACCCATATTCTTTCTCTTAGAGATACAGTTCTTTTGACTGTATGAAGAGACAATATTTGAAATTAACTTTGGTAAAGTGTCTATATATATATACACTGTTACACAATACAGTGTTAGTTTAAATTATCAATGATAACTTTAAGTCATTCAACAAGGGATTATAAATACATTTTATATGCTCTGGTTTCGTGATTCAGTGGTATGGATACACTCACATACATTTACATCCCATATAGAATCATTAAATTTTTAATCAGTTAAATTTAATTTTTAATTATATCTATCGAACAGACTTTGATTATGTGCAACATAGGAGTCAATGTATTTAACTAATGGCTACTTTATTATCAGAAGCTGTTAACATGACAGTATGGTGCTTGTTGAGAAACAGATACATGATTCAATTCATTTTAGTGTATTCTTTTTGTTTTTGATTTTTTTTGAGATGAAGTCTCTCTCTCTGTCACCCAGGCTGGAGTGCAGTGGTGCGATCTTGGCTCACTGCCACCTCCACCTCCCGGGTTCGAGCGATTTTCCTGCATCAGCCTCCCGAGTAGCTGGGACTACAGGCACACGCCACCACACCCAGCTAATTTTTTGTATTTTTAGTAGAGACGAGGTGTCATCCTGTTAGCCCAGATGGTCTCTGTCTCCTGGCCTCGGCCTCCCAAAGTGCTGGGATTACAGGCACGAACCACCTCGCCCAGGTAGTCTATTTTTTTTTTAAGGTATTGATTGTTAAGTTTACAGTGCTTAAGTATAGCAAAAAAAAAAACTATGACACTGTAGATGAAACAGGTTTCTGGTTCTAGTGTTTATGTATTATGAGAAAGGCAGTATTTTTAACTGCTAGTAAAAATGTTGTAGTCAGTAGGACGTTTTCCCCACCTTAAGATTGGCCTGAATCTTACACTAGATTCCAATATTACCTGTGTTTGATATTCATCATATATTTTACACAAACTAGAAAATTAGCTTTAATTTATCACCAAGTGTTTTAAGGCTCATCTATATGTCAGTCACTATATTTGGGCTGAAAATTACCACTTTATTCCATAAAAACATATTTTAAAATGTTTTCATCATATTTTTCAACTAAGTTTCTTTAAACAAGACATAAGCATAGAAGTAACACATAACTAAAATCAATATTAAATACATATTTTCTGGATTAAATTCTGAATCACCTTGGATACAGAAATAGTCAAGATAGAGGTGCTCTCCTCTTCTAACAAAACATATGGGTTTGTTTCTTAAAGTGCAACATGTAGTAGAAAGTTCTGAGTCAACAATGGCAACAGTAGACAAAATAGATATAATAAATTTGTCATGATGATATATACCTGATGGTGTATGTAAGCTTAAATGTTTCACAGGTAGATTTAATTTGAATGGTAGGAATAAGTCTATAGATAAGAGAGTTAATGTTACAGCTTGGCAGTTGCCAGACATTGTATACTTAGAAAATGTATAGAAAACTTGAGGCTGACCTGAAAAATTAGGATAAAATTCTTGTATATTATTTTCACCATTAATAACCTAGTTCTGATTCCAGAATTAATTGCCTTGTTAGTCACTAGTAGTACAGATTTTAGGTCTATTTTCTTTAGAAATGCATATCAGATGATTACATTAGAGGCCATAAAATAGCTTTATCCTGATTCTTTACTTACCTCAATCTTTTTATTAAAAAAAAGTGGTAACAGAGGACAATATTATACAGAATCTGGAGCCTTCTCATAAGTAATATTTTAAAATATTTTTTAAATGATGAATACTTTCAAGCATACAACAGTAGAGAGAATAGTGTACTAAATCTTCCATGTTTTCCATCACTCAGCTTGAACATGACAACTCTTGACCAAACATGTTTCATCCAAACACTGATACAACTGCTCCTTCGTTCAGATGTTTCAAAGCAAATCCAGAAGGATTCTACTGTTTAATCCATTAATATTTACACTTTGCTTGTAAAAGATAAAGTTTTTGACATAACCACAAGAGCAATATTTCTTCTTAAAAATAATTTTTTTACTATCATTGGTTATCTACTTATTATTTAAATTTCCATAATTTTCTCACATATACTATTTATATTCCCAATTGATTTGATTCATGACTGAAATCAGCTTTACAGGTAGCAGTTTTTTTATTTTAAGATTTTTTAATCAAGGTATAATATGCATATAGAAAAGTACAAAAATCATAAATGTATAACTCAAGAAATGTTTACAAAATGAGTACACCTGTATAGTTACAAAAACATTACCACATATTTGTCCAGTAGCCAAAATATTACTACTGTAGTATGTCAAGAAATCCATTCTTCTGCCCACTTACAGTTACTACCACCCAAAGCATTACTACTATCCTAGTCTCTAACCAAAAATTAGTTTTTCTGGGGTTTCAACTTTATATAATTGGAAAAATAATGGAGTATGTTTGAGTTCCACTAAAATTTAACAGACAGTTATTTCCTTGATAATATAGGGAAAACCATCTGCAGAGCCTAATAAATACCAGTGTGTGAGCAAAGAGACAATTTAGTTAGTATTAATTATCCAAAGTCCCATTGCCTCCTATCCTTAAACCTAGAAGTGATACATGCTTTCTTCATCATTTTGGAAAATACAGTGTTCTCCTTGGATATCATTTCTCTATCTTTGGAGTTCTCTTTATGGCTAGTCTATCAGAAATGCTTTATACTTGTCTTCATATCTTTCTTATTGATTGAAACTTAATCCTTTGTTAACTTAGTGGCTTTTATAGAAACAAATATTTAAATATACTAACTTGAATACCATCTAATAGCAAAAGAGTAGAAAAATTGAGGTGTTTGTATTTCATTTTTCTTTGAACGCAGATTAGAAGATTGTGACAAATTGTGGACTATGATGCTTAAAGGAAATTTTAAATAGAGTAAAGAGATTAACATTTTGAGAAATGGCGTATCTGAAGAGAGTTTAAATGGCTCAAGGAATTCTGAATTGAGAGGAAAAGTAAAGAGGTGACATAATAAATGTTAAGCATTTAAACAAATGCTATATAGATAAGATGGTAATCAGTTAATCTGTCTTTATGGAGAGCAGAAAAGAGGAAATGTATCTATATAGTCCTGTGAGATTTAAATTCCACATTACAGGAAATATCCTAACCTTGACATCGGTTCTTGCTCCTGAGGGATATGGAAACATTTTACCTAGAAAGCTTTATAAACTATATACGTATGCCATCTGTGATTTGGTGAAATATCACGTTCTAGCTGTGCATTGTATTTTCCCATGAAATGCCTTTCCTCATCTGCATCTAGCAAAGGAGGGAAAGGTTCAATTTACTTGAAGATGAAGAAGAGACAATTGAAAAAGCATTGGTTTCATTTCCCTCCCTTCCTGTTTCTCTGGGAATGACTTTTTATTTTTCTTTCTTTGGAATTTTTTAGAGGAAAAAGATTTAGTTTCTTAAAGTCTTTTTTTTTTTTGTCATCTCACATGTTGAATTGCAATGGAGAATGAAATGTCCAGGAACAAATATTAAGATATTGTAGTTTTAGAAAGAGATTTGGGGAGATGCATAGAGTATAAATGCTGAGTATGAAAATGTCAAATATATACACATCTAATAAATACCATAGATTGTGTGTATTAAAAAGTATGCATCATAACTCGCAGGTTTAAAACTTCATATTGTATGTAATAATAGCTTACACATTAAGCTATTATTATACAACGAAGTCAGTTTACTCTAGATGAAAAATATCTTAACCTTGTCTAATATTGAGTCTTCTCTTTACTGGATTGGCTTGAATGAGAATTTTCACTTTTGGTATCACGTCATCCTCTATTGAAGTTTAAGGCAATCCATGGTGGCAGTTAGTATAGAACAGCTGACAATTAAATAAAAATGAAACACCTATTATTAATCATCCAAAGTCATAATTGCCTACTACCCTTAAACCCAGAAGTAATACATGCTTTCTTCATCACTTTGGAAGATATAGAAAGCAGATCTTATATGCCATATATAATTCTATCTGGAGTTGATATTTGGAGATTAAATTATAATATATCCTAGCTTGGTAATGTGGAAGCATGAATTAGTCATACACTTCAGAAAAATAAAATGAAAGAGAAAATAATCAAATGGAAAACTTATGTTGGCTAAACATTAATACTAAATTTAATAATAACAGAAGTAACTACCTACTGAGTGTCCATTTTATAGGCATGAGTAAATGAAATAAGACAAAATAAAGACATCACTTTTGTAAATTGTTACAAGGTGACAGTTCTCTTCTGTCAAGAATCACAGTTATGTCCTGTGAAATAGGCTAAATAATTTTAGAATCAATTTATAAATACTTTATATTATTATATAAATATACGTAATTTTATATAGGCAAAATGACTGGTATTAGACAATTTAGAAATGCCTTTTTTGATGGATTAGAGTGAATTCTAACTTCTTAGAGCTTGAATTAAGCTAATGATTGAGGAAATCTATACTTTTAAGTTATATTATGGAGTGATGTGAAGATAATTATTTCTCAAGTTATAACAACATAATATTAACTCCTATGGAAATTATTACAAACATTAAAAATTCAGGCTTATATTAGAATTATTTTTAGAAAATACTTAACATTGAATAATGTAATATTTGCCTCTCACAGTTAAAATTGAGCTTGAAAAAAAAAATTGAGCTTGAAATCTAGTAACATATTCCTTGATAATGTAAATCACTCTCTTTGTAGTAATTTTTATAGAAATTGTTTTCATAATGCTTATAAAAAGTGTGCTTATATATCCAATATAGAGAAAGATTACCTTTATTTTTTTCAAGGAAACATCTAAAGTAGTTACAAAGGCATATCATATTGTTTTGAAGTTAATTTTAAGTCTGTGTTCTTTTTTCTAATCTTTTAAGTTTCTTCTCATTTAACTTACTTTCCTCTCTAATTTCAAAGGGACATCAATTGGCCCTATTATTTTTAGTAGTATTATTTATTGTAAAGAAGCACCATAACAATTTAAAACTGTAAAAACTTTTTAACCAACTGCTTTAAGCAAGTCTTCCCAAGCTACTGACAAGAACAGTGTGACCTACATTCAAGAAAACTCGTTGTTGGGCACAACTGTTTTCCAAGCACAGTGGTCTTCAGTTTTGTTTGGCCTAGAACTAGGTTATAGAAATGTTCTCGTGGCCTGGAGTATAGGAAAATGCTTATGTTTCATGAACTCATTACAGGCTGATATATGGAAATAAGATTATTATCTTAATTTAAAATACCAATATAATAGCCAAATAAACTGAAATACTCTTAAGAGATCGCCATAGGAAAAATAAAAATACTATCAGAACTCTGGTTGATAATGTAAAGGGAATTAGATCAACTTACTTGCTAGTGACCACACATGGCCCAATGCATCCTCATTTCATGTTAAGTGATCTGTACCTACTGCACAAATAAAAATACTCCGATCAGGTTATCTCAGTGTGATATGCTCAGGGTCATCCTGGAGACACTGAAAAATGCAAAACACGAAAAAATGCAAAAGTGTTTTGAATGATTGTATCCTCCTTCCCTTCTCCAAACCTTATGCAAATCAACAGTCTTCCTTTGAGATTTTTAGCAATGAGTAAACCAACCTTAGGCATATTGGATTACTCCTGAAAAGTTTTCAGCTTTAAAATGTGCCTGAAGCACAACGTGCTCACCTGGTTGGATGTGGTATACTTAGTAAATACATGCTTGAAACATACCCTATTCTTATTGCTTTCAGAATAGGTTTTCCCTAAGCATCACTAATTTTACCATTTTGACTTTATTATAACTTGTCATTTTTAATTTTAGAAGGTATCATTTTTATTTTGTTCTCCAAGTATACCTTTACCTCCTTTGAACTTATAGCCTACTATGGATTTATGAGTGACCTTTGTACATGTTCTCACATCAGAGAAGCAATGTGGTGAAGAGCACGAGTTATGGGATCAGTCAGCCAGGTTTCAACTACTGACCCAGCCAGATACTAGCTGTGGGACCTCTCTAATTTCTTTAACCTTCCTATAATTCCTTTTCCCCATCTGTGACATGCATCCTCCAAAGCTCATTGTGGAAATTAAATTATTTAACATATTTAAAGCAGTGAGTGCCTGCCCAAAAGAGGCACTCATTAAGTGTTCAAGGCAACCATATATTCAGTTAAAATTGGAACAATGACATCAGCCTGAGTATGGACAAAATTACAATTCTGGGCTTAAATAGAACTAATTATGCTCTCTTTTACTCCCAGAGAAAAATCAGACTCCAAATGTTCTTTTCACAATATATCACTATTTTACATCTGCAGTGTATATATTCTTTGACATAATACATGTTTTAAAAGTACAGTCTCCCTATTTTTCTGTTCCATTCAAGAAAACAATGGAACAGATATTATAGAACCAAATACATAATGCTCAGCAAAGATTAAGCTTTGTTTGTTTCATGTGTTAATCACAAAGCATGATTATAACTTTTAAAAGTTCATATTCTCATTATTTTACTTAATTTGTATGCTTACAATAAGTAAAGATACTTGGTTATATACAACAGTGAAAATCGTATGAAGAATACTCATTTTTCAAGCAACAGATTTTTATTTCAGTATAGGAAATAGCATATTATATTTGATAATTGTAGAAAAATAAAGGATTTCTATTTGCTCAGGCAAAAAAAAATTAAAATAATGAAAATCAATGTCCATATAGAATTTGACTCATCTATGTTTAGAGAATTGTATTGGCATATTAGTGCAAATTCTAGCCTTATACAAAATATTGTTACCCTAGAGAGTTCTGATAGCCCTGTGTAAAAGACATAGATGCCCGAAAATGATCAAAGTAAATGAAAGCCATCTGTTAGTATGAAAAATTGTCTTTCTGTAACATATACCAAATATATCTATATCTGTTACAGATCAATATTTGAACACATAAAAGCCTAGAGATACTTTTGCCTCCTTTGTTCTTCACTAAAATCTTATTATCTAATAAACCTGATTCTCACAATCAGCTTTCTATTTATATTTTTGTACATTTGTCTTTCAAAGTGACACAGAACTAACAAATAGTGTCACAAACCCCTTTGAAAGAAACCCCAAACTTTAGTTACAGCTTATAGTTTATTCAATGGGCTCTCTGTGTAATTCTCATGTTTTTTTGATTCTATGTGTTTCTGTCTTCTAACTTCTACATCAGTTTTGCATGTACATCACCAGTTTGCCCAAATAACAAGAGACCTAACAACTAAGTTTTAGTGCCCAATTTCATTTCAGAATCATTCTCATTTATGTTTATTCCTCATATGAAAAGAAAAATTTCTCATTTTTTTACAATGATAAAGTTCTTGCATTTAATATTGCTATTTCTAGCAATGGAAGAAATTAAATATTAAACAAATGTAATTGTTTTTTAATCTAATATGCTTGTGAATGCAATTGCCATAGTCACCTGCAATTAAGCATTTTCCTCTTATCAAAATGCACTAGTTTTCAATGAGTCTGTGTTAAATTTCTCATCGCATTAACAGAGGAACGTGATATTTAATTTATTAGAATAAAATATCTTTGACTATCTTTGGAAAAGACTCCTTACAGTGTAATCAAGGAAGAATTTGCAGAGCTCACTTTGGGGCCACTATTTAAGCACTATCTGTGTGATTTTTAATGGATAGAGACCAAGGGCATTCTAGGAGCAGGAAAGTGCATGAACCAAAATGCAGAATTAGAGAGCAAATAATAAATATGGAGAAGTAAATATTCTAGCTTGTCCAATCTATCAGATATATCCAGAGGTATAGTTAAGGTTAAGATTTGAAAGTTGTTTTAGGTAGACCAAGAAACATTTTGAATAATAATACCAATAGTAATAGTAGCTAACATTTATAGAGACAGCACAAAAAGCCAGTGTGTGTTTTTTTTTGTTTTGTTTTTTGTTTTTCTTTTTTTTTGAGATGGAGTTTCACTCTTGTTGCCCAGGCTAGAGTGCAATGGCACTATCTTGGCTCACTGCAACCTCTGCCTCCCGGATTCAAGCGATTCTCCTGCCTCAGCCTCCCTAGTAGCTGGGATTACAGGCATGCACCACCACGACCGGCTAATTTTGTATATTTAGTAGAGACGGGGTTTCTCCATGTTGGTCAGGCTGGTCTCGAACTCTCGACCTCAGGTGATTGGTCTGCCTTGGCCTCCCAAAGTGCTGGGATTACAGGCATGAGCCACCCGGCCTGGACTTTTTTTTTTTTAATTAAAGTTTTTGGAAGCAGAAAACAGACATGAGGAAAGATGATAACTTAAAATACTGGTAAATTGAAATGTGACGGGTTATTTTTGCATAGGAAACAATCAAATGTATGTTACTTTTAATCACTTGAAATATGTTATTTGAAATGCTATAATTCAAATTATCCATGTGTTTTCACTAATTCTGTGAGTTACAGATGAGATCTTCCTAGGGTCAGGTTTACTTGTGAGTGTCTCTCTATGAAAGAAGAAACCTAGAAGCAATTATTTATTCTAAAAAGTTTCAGTCTCACAGTTATAAAGTGAATTCAATATTAGTCTGTGATCATTATGTGCCTTATTTTTTCTTCATTAAATGTTATGGAAAAAAGTTCCTGTACTCTTTTATAGGTTTCCTAAATTTTGTTGCTGTGGACACTACCTGAGGCTTGAGATAGTGGCATGGAATCCCTTCTTTAAGCATCTCATTTCATCTCTTTTTTTCCTTTCACAGTCATCCTTAGAATTGAGTTGGCCACAAAGTAGCCAGGCAGTCTTTTTGAGTGCAGTGTTTTGTTACATTTTGAAGATTTAAAGTAATGGAATGCAAACTACTTCCAGATATGGAAAGTATTAACCCTGAGTTCTCCCACTGGGCTCTGTGGGAAGGCAGGCGTATACTTTGTGTTCCTCAAATCCAGTCCTTTCTGACTAGCTTACGAAAATCAATGAGGACTCCTCTCTTTTACTATCTAGCTTTTAATATTAAGTAATTAGACTATTTCTCCAAAATATTTGACTCATGTTCTCCTCTTAACACATTTTTGAGGCTCTCTGTTGAAGCCACAATAACGTTCATGTTTATTCTAGTTTTTAAAGACTTTTATACTTAAGCTCTGCCTACATTTCTGTTTCACATCATTTAATAATTTGTCAGCTTCTTCATAGATACTTTTTCTCAAGCCCTTGTGTGTTTATACATTCTGTTCTTCTGACATCCTCTCTCATCTGAAAACCCGCTTTTCTCTCCATTCATCTGCATGACCGTCTCTTACTCATCAATCAAGATTCAATTTATTTTACTTTTAATGAGAAGACTTCTCAGACACTAAGATACAGACACTCTAACTGTAACTTCTTATAGATTCTTAAACATAATTGCTGTCTTTAGAATATTTTGTGAAACAATTGTTGGTCCACTGGACTGTAAAATCTTTTAGAGCTGAATCATTTGCTCCATTTAAGGGTCCCATGTTCCATAACTGTGTCTGGAACAAAGTAGACGCTCATAAATGCTTATAGACTACATCAATGAGTCAATAAATGAAATATTCTGAATGGAAATGAGGTGCAAATCTTTTTTCTTCAGGATAGTTTGTCTAGGCCTCTACCCTGACTTAGATAAATAATAAAATTACAGTAGTCTCTGAATGACATTAAAAAAAGCAAACTAAAACCACAAAAAATCTTAACCATTTCCAGTCCTAAATAATCTCCACTCTATTTTATCTTCTTTCAAATTTTCATAATTTTCTGTTTTTATTCTGGCCTAACTATACTAGTTATTTTATTCTTTCTTCTGGTATATCACTTTGTCTTTCACAACTCCTTTAAGCTCATGTTTCACCATCACTCCCTGCTAATTTCACTAAGCTATTTTCTTTTCAGTTGTCTGCCACGTATCATTGGAAAACGTATACGTAAACACTAAGTAAATATAAGGTAATCTTAAATATAAACATAAAGGGTGAGCCATTGTGGATATGTATAATATTTATGAACAGGAGGTTGTTGATAGTACTGTATACCTATGGCTGGAGGCAATTCACCTGAGTTTTCCTTCAGGTTTCTGAAGTTTTTATGTAACAGTTTGTATGTATATGGCATTCTTACTTACCATCATTATTGCATAAGTTATATTTGTTTTATGGCATTGTAGTAATGAATGGGTACATCAGATGCTATTTTTTTAATATCATGTTGAAGGATTTTGCTTTCTTTACGAGAACATTATTATGAGATATGTAGGTAGTTTTGTACACTTGTGATAGTTTAATGATAAAGCATATATGTGAGTATACATTTTCAAAACTTTTTAACCAGAATTCTTTACTGGCCCCAAGAAAGATTGATTAATTAAAATTTGAACTTTTATTTAAATTTATTGTAATACTTTGCATAGATAGTAAATATGAATGCAACATTTTTACTTTGCTATGTAATTAAATGTTTATAATAATTAAGATGATCTCTAATTCAAAACCAAGTTTAAAGTTTCCAAAAGTAACATAATGATTTAAGGATCTAAATCTTGGCATCTAATTAGAATGTAATTAAATAAATTTTAACCTTTAACAAGCAGGATATTATCTTGTTTCAATAATTTAACATTTTTGTGATTTTTTTAAAGCTAAGTTTAATTCATTGCTTATGAGTTTTCAAATCTCTAATTATCTGATGACAGGTTAAATTGAAAGGAAGAAAAAGAGGTGGTTTAATGAGTTTCTAGAGTATAACTAAAACTAAAGTATGTACCCAGGCCTTCATTTTAGGATAGGCAATTAAAAATTATACCTTCTATGCCAAGAAGAAATAATATTTATTTAATATGCTATATCCATCTCATAAAAACAAAAATTTTACTCAAAAAAACAGGGATAAAATGTAATCATAATACAAAGAAATAATTTAAATAACAGTTAAGATTATACAATAATCAGACAATTAGTCATTAACTAAAAATTTATATTCTAGATAACTTAGTTTTTTTTATCTTTCTGAACTCTCATGCCTTAATTTTAAATTATTTTGATGGAAATATATAGATAACTTATTATACAAACTCGTCCTATACTATAATTTAAAAACACAATGCAACATTTTTTTGACTTTAGTGGTAAGTAGTGTCATCTGTGCTATCATGAAGTAGATGCCCTGAGGACAGCATTGCCAGACTTAACAAACAAAAAATACTTAGCACCCAAATATTCTATGGGACGTACAGCTACTAAAAATTATTCATTGTTTATCTGAAATTCAAAGATTATCGTACACACTGTATTTTTTCTGGCAACCCAACTCAAGGGGTTATCAGAACGTGTAGTCTTGGTGCTTTAGTGCAGGGTTGTTTTTTCTGCATCTCTTCTCTGTGGCCAGTTTTCAATGTGTGAACATTTTTAACCCCCTTCTTAGTCTGCCCTTCCTGCTTTTAAACTTCTGTTTGCCTTGACATAGAAGTAACTGAATTATGTTAGGGAAAATCTGATCATCAAGTATGTAAATAGCCATACATTTACACACTGTTTCTACGTTGTATGTCTTGTGTCTTCTTTGAACATATGTTTGAATAGGCGTTTAGAAATATTTACCAACCCAGAACTTCCAATTGTTTACATTTCTTAAATCTGTTGGGTTGTGGTTAAATTATTTTGAAACTTTACCCTTTCTTAAGTAGGTTATTGATGGTTAATACATTAGCTACGTGGCTATATGTTTTTTAATGAAGGTCTTATTATTTGCCTGTATTTTTTTCTCATCTTACATTGTTGGAATTTATACTTGATTTTCGTATAAAAGATGAAGTTGCGCACATCACAAGTAGCTGGAGTGAATATTGTGATACAATAGGTGCAAATAGATTTATACAAGCACAACATTCCTGTAGTCAGGAATGACCAATCCCATTCAGCATTTTCATGCCTTCTGTTTTGAAAATCAATGCTAGTTTCAACCTCACAGGAAAGGTGCTAATATAGTCTTCTTATAATATTGTTTTGAAGGAAAACACTTGAAAAGTGTCTAAATGTCACTAAATATTATCAGCTCTGTACTTCTCAAAAAAAAGGAACTGTGTATTTTTTTAAGTAGGGATATTTTGTTGGAACTTCAGATACACACAATACTGATAAAGTAACTTAAATGAAAGTATCATTTGTTCTTATTAAAGTAAGATATAACTGAGTGAATTGTCTTCAAAATAAATTTTAAGGATACTTCATTGATAATGTAAACAATGCTATTTTCAAATATTTCTGGAACAAATCACAATTTCCATATTTTAGTGGACTCTGATGAAGGATTCCAGAAAAATTTTCAGTGATATTATAAACATGCAGAGAAAGATATGTTATATTTACATTTCCTAAATGTACACCAGCATAGGGTCAGAACATCTGAAAAATAATTCAGTCTCCAAACTTTACTTTGAGATACTAATTGGGCAATGGTGTTCTGTTTGTCAAATAGAGCCTGGTATGGTGGCCAACGTGCCCAGGTTAGGGTCATATCCTGTTATTTTTCTCCTAAGGGAAAATTTATTACGCTTCTAAAACATAATTTTTCACATTTTTAGAGAAACTTGAACTAAGTTGAAGAACGTTTTACAAAATTCTATGCTAGTACATTGTCTTGGCTTTTTTTAAACAAATATTTTAATTTAAAAGTTTAATTTTTTAGAGTTTCAAAAATAGATCTTTAGAATACTGACGATTCTTGTATCTAAATGGAAAAGTTAAAAATGATTACTCTGTGTTTTTAGATATCTTCCTCAAATCAATTCAAATAATAATATTCAAATGTTTTGTCTATAGGAGCTAATACACTATCACTAGTTTTTGTCATAGTTGAAAGCACTCTTCATTCATATAATTAATTAGAAGTATTATTAAATCAAACAAAATTGAGTTACTATAACTTCATCTATTCTCTTAATAATATGAGAGGTAGTTGACATAGTTGCAGTAATCCACTGGAAAGATATTTCCTGGTGAAACAGTTGTAAATGTACTGTTACCTTATGAGAAGGTAGTTTTGATTTACACATACACATACATGCATGCACACACACATACATAGAAATTTCTCAGTGCCTACTGATCTTCCATCTAGAAAAAAATCTGTAATGTTTCAGTGGATTCACTTTGTCATACAAAGCTATGTGAGGGTAATTGTATACCATTGTATTTGTGGAGTACACTTTTGGACAAATAAAAGCTCCTATTTTTAAAGCTGTTAAGTCTTTTGCATAGCAATGAAATTTGGTTTAAAAATAAGCACTGATCAATACTAATTTTTGAAATTCTCTTGGTAGTAAACTTAGGGCCTTTCACAGTATATCAGCTCTACTTGATTTGGAAGGTATCTCCCAGATAATGAAGTAAATTTATTCATTGCACACACTCTGCTAGGTGAGAAAATTAGGATGGATCCATTTCTAATTCATAGCTTGAAGTTGTAAATAGTCTCTTTCACAATGGTAACATTAGAATTTTAGGAGAGATGGCCAACTATTTAAGGGTGCCAGGGTTGCTAGAACGAGAATGTCTATGAGACAATTATTATGCTCAACATGCTTCTCTCTTCTATTTGAAATTATACATTTTATTCATTCATTGATGTATATTTCTGTTTCACAAAACTGTTTGCCGATTTCTTATTTTTAAATATCCCTGGATTTAAATTTTAATTTAATAACTATTAATTGCAAACTATGTTGTAAGTATTCAATATACACATAAATTAAAATAAAAATAAATACCTGCCTTTACTATGTATTTCTCACATTAATGGTCTAAAGCTTTGTTTGAGTCATTTATTTTACAAGATTTGCTTTCTAAAAGACTAATAAAGTTTACATATAGTACATATTATAATACTACCATCTCCAAACTCCTGTTTTCCACCTATGTTCTATAATCCCTTATCCCTGTCAAAATAGAATAAAAAAGCATTAAAGAATTCTGTCTGATGAAAGGAAAAAAGCAAATTTAGTCTAGGAGAGTATGAACCTTATGAATTAAAATTAAGAACCGTAGTTTGGCAAGGCACAGTAGCTCATGCCTATAATCCCAGGACTTTGGGAGGCCAAGGTGAGCAGATCAGTTGAGGCCAGAAGTTCGAGACCAGCCTGGGCAACATGGTGAAACCCCATCTGTACTAAAACTACAAAAATTAGCCTGGCGTTGTGGTGCGCAACTGTAATCCCAGCTACTTGGTAGTCTGAGACAGAAGAATCGCCTGAACCCGGGAAGCTGAGGTTGCAGTGAGCCAGGATCACAGCACTGCACACCAGAGCAAGACTGTGTCTCAAAAATAAATAAATAAACCGGTTTTATTATCTATAAATATAAATAAATAAGTTATTTATTTATATTTATTTACATATATTTATATAAAATATATATATTTATATTTGTTTACATATATTTATATATTATATATAATCTTGTGTATATATGTGTAAATATATAAATATATATATAAATATATATATTTATATATATATATTTATATATTTACACATGAGAACTACCTTCTCACAAGGCAATAGTACATTTACAACTGTTTCACCAGGAAATATCTACCCAGTGGACTACTGCAACTGTGTCAACTACCTCTCATATTATTAAGAGAATAGATGCAGTTATAGTAACTCAATTTTGTTTGATTTAATCATACTTACTTCTAATTAATTATATGAATGAAGAGTGCTTTTAACTATGACAAAAACTAGTGATAGTATATTAACTCCTATAGACAAAACACTTTGAATATTATTATTTGAATTGATTTGAGGAACATATCTAAAAACACAGTAATCATTTTTAACTTTTCCATTTAGATATGTATATATTTATATATTTACACATATAAATAAATATATAAATATATATATTTAAATTTAGAATTTAATCTATTCATACTTTCTGGGGAGAGAAAGATATGATTTAAAATCCAAACAATATACAACTATATTTTCAAAAATAAAAGCAAATATGAGTGTTCAAATGGAAGGCAAATGAAAAATCAAGCAGTTACCCTCTTTTAATAGTTAACACTACTGTGCTCATTTCTGGATATAAGGTTAAACTGAAAAAAAAATTCAAAAAGATTTTAAAGGGAACCGTTAAACATGGCTCAAGAATAAGACAGAGGAAGTTAAAAAAATGGATTAACTGTACAAATTTCTAATGGAGGCTCACTTTAAAACTGTCCTGAAGTGTGTGATGTGCTTTTACATAGAGCGGAGAGCAGATATTTCTGACTTCCACAGGGAGTAATTTGTTCAACTTCTTGTACGCTAGATGCATTTATATGTAAAGAAGTGTCCTGATGATGAGGCTTATTGAACACTTGAATAAGCTCTGGAGTAGGTTACTGATCGCAGCCTCTGGAAATTTTTCACTGTAGTGGAGAGTCTCAGGCATCAGAGATATTCGAAGGGTGTCCTTTCTTTAAATTGCAGAAATAGATTATTTCATAATCTTAATGTATTGCTTTAGTTTCTGCGGTTTATACAATCATAAAGTATAAAGGGTATTTTCTTTCCTCTTTTGCAAGTTTGACCATGTGAATATTCAATTTATTAAATTGTTATTTTAATGTATAAAATAAAATAATTTTTACCAGGCAATTACATGCAATGAACAGTGTATCAGTACTGACCACTTTACAATTATTTCTGCAACATACATGTGACAGTCATTTGTCTTAAGTCATTAGTCAATTTAATACCTTAAAATTTTAATTTGTTTAAGTATTTAATTTTTCTCATAGCTTAATTCAGTTGCAAATTATAAAAGGCAAAAATAGGATTCCACAATATAAAGAAAAATATACACCATGGAACTTTTATTAAAAATTATATCTATGCTAAGTTATCAGAAGGTAGATACTTGAGAATCTCTTTTCCATTAAGGATACATTTTCACCTGTGGTTTAGATATTAAGATAAGTATCTTAATCTAGCATTTATGACTCACTATGAAGAATAAATGCACTGAATGAATAAAATTAAGAAGGAACACAGTCCTTTTCCTATTACTTCTGATTTCATTTGATTGAAAATAAAACCTCCCTATCTATCAAGTGACCAATTCCCTACATGCTGATGCATCACAAGAAAAAAATGCTTTTGTGAAATGAAAAGAAAAAGAAATCCTCCAAGCATGCTTTGATAATTCCAAAACATACATAGAATATATTAGAAAGCATAGAGATTCTCTGTGTATTTGACTCATTCTGTCAAACCTAAAATGCATCAGCAAATATATAGCCATGTTACTTAACACTGGAATAATTGTCCTGGTACTGGCTCTAAAATGTCATCAATTAATATTTTTTTTGTGGGGAGGGTCAGATAATATTTGCTTGCTACTTGTCCAACATTAGGCCATACAACCCTAAAAGAATAATAGGTTTTGTTTGTTTTTTGAGGCAGAGCCTTGCTCTGTCTCCTAGGCTGGAGTGCAGTGGCAAGATCTCAGTTCATTGCAACCTCCACTTCATAGATTCAAGCAATTCTTGTTCCTCAGCCTCCGAGGTAGCTGGGATTACAGGCCTGTGCCACTAAACCCTGCTAACTTTTGTATTTCTAGTAGAGATGGTCTTTTGACATGTTTGTCAGGCTGGTCTCAAACTCCTGGGCTCAAGTGATCCGCTCGCCTCAACCTCCCAAATTGTTGGAACTACAGGCCTGAGCCACCGTGCCCAGCCAAGAATAATAGTTATTCAGTGTTTAAACTCAACCCGTAGAAGGTTTGAAATAAAGCGGATGTGACTAAAACTTTAGTAATAGTATAAACTATTTCTAGGTTGGCAGGATTTTTGGCTCCTCTGTATCCTTGGGCTCCTTGTCTGTGGATTCAATCAACTGTGGATTAAAAATATTTGGAAAAAAGTCCCACAAAGTTTCAAAAAGCAAAACTTGAATTTGCCATGCACAGAGTACTGCCTTGAATTTATGTGAATGAAGTGATGTGCCTGGTGTTAGGCATTATATTAGATGTTGTAAGTAACCTGAAGATAATTTAACATATTTAGGAGGACATGCATAGGATATATGCATACACTACAGGCCATAAGGGACTTGAGCATCCTTCGATTTTGGGGGCAACCTGGAAACAGGCCCTCACAGACACTGAGGGATAACTCTTCATAAATGTAAGATTAGCTTCTTCTAACATGGAGGAAATCTTCCTTCCTCAATCTAATTAATTCTGACCTTCGGAACTTAGATCAGATCTAAGTTCAGATCTTATATTTGTCCTATCCAAATCTGCATTACTGAATTAACACATAGGTGGGAGGAAGTAAATTTAATAATAGGTGATTATATTATTCAGACAACAAGTACAATAGGTGAACTTTAAAAAAGAAAACACGTAACTCTAAGCAGCAATTAAAAGATGTCTTTTAAGTTTATGTTTATATTTAAGATATTGAGTATAATGTGTGCTAAGCTTCTGTGTTCTTAAAACTGTGAACCATTTTAATAATTTCTTTTATTAAAAAGAAACAATTTCTGTTTGTATCCTAACTAAATCAAGTGAACACATAATATTTATGTTAATGGCCTTTAAGCCATAAGAACTAGAAATGATATTTTTATTACTCTAAACATATGCTATGTTGACTACTTTCTGAATTTATACTAAAACATAGTTTTTCAGTATATTAGTTTTTTGACATAATGAATTAGTTATAGGTTGACTATAGGTCACTCCTGAGTTTCTTTTGTTCTTGAACTAAGAAAAGAATGTTTCCTCTAAATCAGCATTTTCTGATTTTTACTATTAACAGGAAAGGCCCCAACCCAGCTTATTTTGAAAGGAGTAATATTATTTGTCGGTGACAATATTTTCCTGGGTTGTCCAGAAAGCACAAAATCTTTTGTAATTAATAATAGTGTTTCTTTTCACTCACCAGTGGGTCCAGTTTAGACAACAAATTATTTGGTGACCGTAATGATTTGCTCTGATTTGTTTTATAAACTTGGACTTCTAAGGTTTCACTATTCTAATTTATTGTATAATTTTCAATTCTGATTGGTGTAAACAAATTTGTTTGAATTATTTCACATATAAGTTTCTCATGAAACAGTTTGAACTCAAGGACACAGAAAAATAGGATTTCATTCTATTAAAATAATAATTCCGTTTACTTGTAGAATATTCTCTGGAATATTATGACCTGGTTATAATGACTACCATATATTGTATCGAATTCATTTTATTCTTCTGGATATCATACATTACAAAATATGTTCTGATTACTTTCAATACTAGTTATTATACTACACAATACATGTAGATACTTATTTTCACTTTCATTTCTGTTGATGATGGTGCCTGACTGCTATGGGTTTTTTTTTTTTTTTTTTTTTTTTTGAGATGGAGTTTCGCTCTTGTCTCACAGGCTGGAGTGCAATGGCATGATCTCAGCTCACTGCAACCTCTGCCTCCTGGGTTCAAGCAATTCTTCTGCCTCAGCCTCCCAAGTAGCTGGGATTATAGGCGCCCACCACCATGCCAGGCTAATATTTTGTACTTTTAGTAGAGACAGGTATTCACCATGTTGGCCAGGCTGGTTTCAAACTCCTGACCTCAGGTGACCCACCCAACTCGGACTTCCAAATTGCTGGGATTACAGACGAGAGCCACCACATCCGGCCGACTGCTATGGTTTTGATTGATGTGCCTGCTAAATGGTGAACTAGTAAAGAACTGTTTCATGGTCAGAAACTGAGCTTTTGAGGAAAAATAAATTAGGATAAATAGATAATTAGATAGTCTTGAAATGAGTTGAAATACCAGAGAATAAGGTTGAGAAGATCAACATGTTCTTATCTTTGTTTAAAAAAAGCAACCATTTATGAGATTAAAATAATTGTTTTGCTATTTAATGTACTTTGTAACTTTTAATGAGATATGTGAAAATTTAATCTAAATTCAACTAGCTTTATTTTCAACACATTTTTGTTATATGTCTGTTATGTGCCATATACTGATAGATATGATGCAACTTCTGCTCTCATTGTGCTTATGGTCAAATATTACAAAGTTTATGGATAAGGGAAGAAATATTATTTATCATTACAAATAAACAAAATACTTAAAATTATGAAATCTGGGCAATCAAATCTGGGCATTCTGCTTTGTAATTTAATATATTTTATACAACTAGAGCAAATTTGATAATATCTTTCTCCCCTTTGCCTTTATTAATTCCTTTATGAGAAAATGGATTCTCATAGTAAGAATACTTTAAAAAAATGTATGGGCCATAAAAATACTTGGTTTTAAAATTTTATAAATGAGATTAAATAAACCTAGAAAATGTGAGTCATCTTTAAATTATTTAACTACATAAACACTTTCTGGTACAGTTTTCCATAATAAATATTGGTTTAATATGTATAATTTATAGTTTATGAAATTAAATATAAAACAAGTTATTTATAGATTTTGCTAGAAACTTTTTCTAGAAATGTAAGGGCCACACATTTTTTTCTATACTCTGTGCATAAATAGTGAAGTGTAGGGATTGTTTTATGTAGATAACTTTAAAAAGTTAATCTTCACAAATTTCATCTTTGGTATATAAAATGTACATTTCCCATGCAAAACTAATTTATAAGAATATCAAAATTATCATTCTCAGAAAACCAAACAACAGAATGGCTGTGACTACTAGCAGTGAAAAAGTTTGACACTACATGTGTTTGGTATGAGGGTACAACTAGTTTCTAACTGTATTCTTTCTTTTACAATAATGTGTAATTCTAAACTCCAAAAGTCAACCTCTTTTTCTTAGAGTATTTTTCTTTCTTTTTCACAGCACGGAAAAGGATATGCTAGTCAATTCTACAGGACTTACCTGAAGCAGCATGATTTGCACAAAGTCGACCAACAAAAGCATCAACTTTTCAACTTCATTATCTTGGCCATCCAGTTAGTCATGTGTAACTGAGTATTAGATTTCGGATGGAGTCATCATGGCCAATTATAGGACCTAATTGCTCTCAGCAGGCCTGAGAAATGAGTTGAAATGTGCAGAACTGTAGAAACTTTAGAGGCAACAGATTTTGCCTCCCCGATCAGTGTGTGCCTGTTTACAGCACTATCTATCTTTCTCTCTCCAAATGTCACTGAGCCCTTTAGATGTTTATATTCACCACGAGAAGCCAGTCATAAAGATAAAGGAAATTTGTGCATTATAAATGCAATATCACTGTTTTAAACTTGACTGTTTTATATTATTTTTGTGTGATCAAGTGTTCCGCAAGCTATTCCAACTTTACAAGAGAAATTGTGATTATGTTCTTTTCACCTGTGGGTTATAAAAAATGTTGTATTCTGAAGACCCACAAAATATCAAAGACATTCTGTAGTTTATACACCGTGTTGCAAAGTGTTTACTGTACTATTTCAAAGCTTCTAAATAAATATAAAATATATATATTATATTATATAATTTTCCTAAAATGTGGTACAACTCAGTTGGTTTTTAAATGGATGCATACAGTCCACATCATACAATAAAATAAAAGGTAATTCAGGGTCCCAAAGACAAACTTACTAAGAAAAAATCATTAATAGTTTTCTCCCAATTTCCATATCTTACTCAACCGTGTTTTTCCTTGTTTAAAAGAAAATGATGCTCTAAGCTACAAAATTTTGTCAAAAACTCATATTGAATTTTCAATGCCAAAGATGTAGCTATTGATGTTATCAGACAGAGCACTGACTATGTACTATCAAACTATCTAACAATCTGCATAAGTCTGATTCTATTTCTATGACTTTGAATTTAGAATCACTTAAAGCTTTTATAAAGAATCGATAAATTCACCTGTATTTGTTGTTAGAAAAAAACTGGGTGTCTGTACATTTTGTGGTGTAAAATATGTAATTGAAGATTACTATTTTAAGAAGTCATCAGTCATATCACTCACACAGAATTTTATTTTACATAGTTTTGTGACTTAATTACACATGAATATAAAATCTATAATTCTATATGAATATATAGAGATATAGAAACATCTGAACTGGTAAAGAATAACTATAAAATATGAAAGCTCTAAATTTAAAATAAATTTAGAGATAGAATCATGGTACATTATTGTTTCAGTATTCCATGTGAAAATTTTATAGCTTAAATGTAGTCAGTGTTTGATTAATGAAAAAATTCTTCATGAGTCAGCCTTCAAAAGTTAAGCTTGCCTTTTACTTTTATGTCAACAATATTAATTATTAAATTTAGTAAGACGCACTTTCCTTTCTTTTATATATTTTTTCTACTGTTGTGTATGCCTTGTTAGAACACATTCGAGAGAGGAAAAAAATCAGAGAATATAAGATAATCTTTCAAGCAAAAAACAGAATTGTCACAGCTCCCCTCGCCCTCTAAACTATGATATCAAAACATCATATCAAAGCTTCAACATTATATCAAAATGTTTGCCCAGTTCAAATTAGAAACCTGTTTTGAAATACTTTCCTTAATTTTTAACTGATCTTATATTCAATGACAGTTTGAGCTGCACTGTGTTATTAAAGAATAGACTAAAACTTAACATTTGACAAATGTTCTTCATCAAATTTTATGTAACTTAAGTGGAAATTTTTCCCTAGATTTAACTTTAAAATACATATATATACACACACACACACACACACACACACACACACTTAGGTCCTGATATGTACATTTAGAGTGATATATTGGTATCACTCATTTGACTGTTATCAAATTAGATATTAATATATCATATTCCAATCAGTTCATATATCAAAATAATGTATGTAATGTTCCAGCCTTTTGAAGTCTCTTTAAACATATATGAAGCTAACAGATCATATGTAATACAAAAAGCACATAAATTCACTAAGTGCAGCAGTAACATTTTCTTAAACTTTGGCATTACTACATTAATATTTTGAATGATAGACTATTTTAGTAAGGAAATGTTTATACATAATTTAACTGGAAAAAAGTCTGTTTGTTCCAACTCTTTTTTTTAGCAAGAAAATGATTTTCTTGTTGAGTCACTCTGCTTTAATTAAAATGTTTCACGCATCATTTTGCAATCATGGGTGAATATCCACATCCATCTTCCTTACTGCATGCATTGAAAATAAGATTATACTCACTTCATGTATAGTAATTATATTGTCATTTACCTCAAAGACATTTTCTTTAATTATTTAACCTTTTATATCATTGTATATAATCTCCTTTGAACCAACTTTTTTATTATATATTTGTGTATTAGTTATTTTCATATATCCTAGGAACTAGTTATACTAACTTACATTTTAGTTATCATCAATCTACAAAACCAAAACCAGAACTTCTTCCTAATTTGCGGGACAAATAGAATTGTTTAAGGATAAAATGCTACATTATTAGGTCATTAATCAACTTATCTGTTGCATCCAAAGTAAATTAGAAGTTACAACAGAGTAAGGATATGATTCTTGTAAGTTGGTTAAAATGTTTTCTTCCAATGAGGGGGACTATAAAATGGAAAGTGCAACCAACAAATAATGAAGGTTTCTAATTAAGCATTTACTAGATTAATATATCAAGGAATTTTAGGATAGGTTTTCTCTTTAATCTGGTCATTCTAATATCCAATCTTACATAATTTTATATACATCAAAGAATAATATCCATCGTATTAGACAGTATTTCGTCAATAAATTATTTCAGAAAAAAAAATCATGTCATTTACTCCTTGTTAACATGGTTAGTTTTAGAGCAGTCAAAGTCAAAAAAAATTTCCTGTGGAAACAGTGTCTTAATGTTTCAAAGGTATGTCAAAAGACAATTTTTAGAAAATATTTCATCCACATGTAGAATTCTAATTTTTAACGTGTGAACATAGTTTGGTGAAATCATCTTAAATCAAATTTAAATATCACATCAGAATTACTTCACAGATATAATAGCGTCAATGATATATGTATCATCTTTTCTTGGCAAATATTAAGGAAATATGTGTATTTTATTTTTTAAAGATATTAAATGCACTGCCTTTATCAAACATTGCAAATTAAGAACTATAGTAGAATATTTAAATATTTTAATTTCTCATTGTTTTATTTGTTAATTGGATTGTAATTTGCCATCAGATTCTCTGTATTATAGAAGCTATCTTGCTTCTTCAATAAGAGGAGGAAAAAGAATCTCACAATTCCCAATATAATCTTTAACAACTGTACGTTAATTGTACCATTTTACCTTCTAAACATTATTTACTGGAGCTCAGTTAGTCTTTAAAACAATTACTCAGGCAGAGTGTGGCAAAAGTTCAGCAAGATCAAGAAAAGTATTTAAGTTATTGACTGATCATAGCACTGTTATTTGTCATTGCATGTGTTTTTCCCCCTCATGTTTCTATGTGTGCTATTGATACCCAAGGAACTCAAAAATACTTAAAATATTGGTATACTTGATGATTTTTCTGAAAATCTTATATTTTTCATATTACAAATTCTTGAGTTCTTTATCTTTTTCAAGTCTAATTTTGTAGTGGTAAAGGCTTTGCACTTAACATCCTTTTGTGTTCCTTTTTAACAAGGAAAAACAGAAAATAATGGAATTCCATATTTTTTACACCATGGAGTAGTAAAATTATTTTATATATTGTTAGTACTTCAACAAACATCCCTCTGCTAAGTCAGACAAAATCCTTATACAGTAATTTGTGAAACTGTTCAGTAGAGTATTCTTTTCTTCAAATCTTGGCATAGGTTTTAGATTATAGCATTCTGTATGAATGCAGGTAGATGGGTGCCGCCAGAGTATTGCAGGCAATAATACGACTAAAATTCTAATACTTTTAGTGTGCATGCGTGTATTTCTAATCACTGTTATTTTTTAAGTATTTGTAAAATTAGAAAAATTGCTTTTATTTCTTGAAAAGTTGTCACATGCTTAGTTTGAAGTTTTACTCTCCAGATGTTTTTGAGTTGCATAAAAATCTTGCATTCATCATTCAAAAAATACTAAATTTCACATGAGACTCAAAAATTTCTGAATGATGGAACTCAGACTTCCAATACATTCATACATGCTAGAGCTGAAAGTAAGCAGGGAATTTCAGCTCTAAACACATTTTTGAGACAGTTATCTGTGAGTGAAAACAGGGTATTATAACAAAAGATGAGTTTCAATCTTAACTACAGTGTTTGTTACTGTGAATGCTATAATAATACATAAGTAAAATGAGTGTAAATGTAATAAATTATTTTATACTGCTGTATACATATGAAATAAATAAAACTAGGATACATATTATGCCATTTTTCCATGCATGGATCTTCCACTGACGCCTGTGGGAGCTTTGAATAAAAATCAGTGGCAAATATGGCTCTAAGTTTAAAAACATCTAATGCTGATTTAGTAATTTTAGTCTTAATATAACAGGTCTAAGGGGACATCTGTTCAAAACTGAGTCTCATTTGAAGCAGCATATGCTAGGTTTTAAAGGATTTCATTATATTTATAGCTTTGAAAGTAGACATTTAGTTGTATATGATTCTCATGATACCCAAAATGAATCATAGAAGTATATATTTTTCCACCTAATGCTGTATTTACTTTTTAACTTTTTTTTGATGTGTAGTAATACCAAGGGTCCACAAAGATTAACATAGAGGTTGTACATAAGATATGAGTACCTTCAAGCAATAAAAGAAAGGGATTTTATCTATAACTTTAGAAACACAGCATTTCATATTTAAAGTTGATAGAAATGTAAGGAAAAATAAAATCCGTATGGGTATCATCTTCCAAGAAGAAAATATGAATTAAGGGATAGATACTTTTTACAATATGAAAATAATCAGAATTTACCCTATAGAAATTTAAGTCTGAATTAACTACAAGGTAATAGAAGAAACGTTCTTCTTAATCTCATGTGTGTTCTCTGTAACTGATTTTCTTGAGTGCAAACTGCACGTATCTGGACCAAGGTTCATTTTATAAGGCAACAAGTTAGCCAGGGGGAGGGTGTGGCTAGGTGTTTCTCTTGCTTTGAACATCTAATAAACCAATTCAGTGGAAAAGAACCGAATAAAATACAGAAGAATGATAGTTCTCAATGAAAGGTTAACAGCTATGATTACAAGTTGCCTTGCTTCCCCCTGTGTATCACTACCTTTTATCCCTTATTTTCACTCTTTCTGGGAAATATAGACTCTTTAAGATTATGAATTTTCAGTGGTAAAATTAAATTGTATTAGATTACAGACATATACTGAGGTCTAACAGTGCGAGAAAGTAAGAATGAATGGTACTATCTGCCTTTAGGAAAATTACAGTTTCCAGGGAAATTGGAAGAAAATATTAAATCATCAAATAATTAAGTGATCAAAATTTGTGGTTGAGACTTATCAGTGGCCCTAGATTATAACATAAAAAATAAGTAAATAAAATAGAAAAATAGATTAGAAAAGTATCAAAATACATCATTTATGTAAAAGCAAATGGTTCTTTGTGAAACTTTTTTCAGATATATATACATATATAAAATAGGTCACAATGTAAAATATATTTCTTACTGTGAATCACTCCCCAAAATATTTGAAAAGCACTGCACCATATGATCTGTTTTTCAAATTTAAACTTATTTAATGCTGTGGAAACAGGGAAGATATTTCTGAAGTTACCTCACATCTGAATCTTAATCTTTTACCCTTTGTAAAATATGGATAAGTACACTTAGTTGTAGAATTGCTGTGAGGATTAGGTGAACTGATGAATCTGAAATGCATAGCACAATTCTAACACAGACTTGTAACTGCCTAACAGGTTCACCTTGCCCACTGCTTAGACACAGCCAATTTATCAAGACAGGGGAATTGCAATAGAGAAAGCTATTCATGCAGAGCCTACTGTTAGGGAGACCAGAGTTTTATTATTACTCAAATCAGTTTTTCAGAGTATTTGGGGAATCAGAGTTTTTAAGGATGATTTGGTGGGTGGGGGGACCAGTGAATCAGGAGTACTGATTGGAGGGTTCAGAGATGAAATCATAGGAAATAGAAGCTGTTAAGCTGTCATGTTGCACTGTTAGTTCCTGGCTGGGGGCCACAAGACTGGATGCACCGGTTTATCAATCTGGATGGTGCCAGCTATTTGATTAAGTGAAGGGTCTCCAAAATATCTCAAGCAGTGATCTTAGGTATTACAATAGTGAGGTTATCCCCAGAAGCAATTCAGAAAAGGTCAGAATCTTGTAGCCTCCAGCTGCATGATTCCTAAACCATAATCTCTAATCCTGTGGCTAATTTGTTAGTCCTACAAAGGCAGTCTAGTCCCCAGACAGGAAAGTGGTTTGTTTTGGGAAAGGGCTGTTATCATCTTTGTTTCAAAGTTAAACTATAAACCAAGTTCCTCCCAAAGTTAGCTTGGCCTATGCCCAGGAGTGAACAAGGACAGATTGGAAGTTAAAAGCAAGATGGAGTTGGCTAGTTCGGATCTCTTTAACTGCAATAATTTTCTCAGTTAAAATTTTGCAATGGCAGTTTCACAATGCAAGTAGTATATGTTATTAAACTTTTTTCAACATTTAACCACTGATCTTGGTTACCAAAAGTATAGAATATAGTCTACAAACAAAAGAAATTCTTTTCTCAAAATTTCAACCTGCCACAGAGCTGTGTCTAAGCAGTGCAAATTTCAAAACCTCAAGATGAAAGTAGACTTGCCATTGGTATCCACTCATCAGCTCAGTTCATATTTGCCTCTCCATTTATCAGTGGTATGGAGTACAGGAAATAAAACAAATCTGGCTGGGTTCGCTTTCTTCCTCCACTTCCTTTTATAGCTCTCAAATAGTCCTCTATCTCTACTATTGAAAAATACATGTGTATGTTTGCACTAGGACATATTTATCTGACCCCAATGGCCTTTCTGAATATGTATTTCCATACAAATAAATGCTTGTTGGAAATACTGCATATTTGACAGAATCATTTTGTTTGCATATGATTTTCATAAAAATGAATTTGGGCAGTATTCGGTATCTGCTCAATAGAATTGAATTTTAAAAGTTGCTCTAATAGTAGACTTCTTGAAGTTGTCATTACTTAGCTTGACAGGCTCTGTTCCCTAGAGGTGTCCTCCTCTTTACTTATTTTTTTCTTTTGAATCAATTAAAAGTTTTATCTCCTTGTCATGAAAACTAGGTTTTAAATTTCCCAGTTAAGGTAGTTCAAAATAATCTGTAACTTAACTGACATTTCTAAGTATTCATATTGTGAAGGGAATTTATTGATCCATAATGAAAATATTGTGTAGATGAAGATATTTTTGTTTTGGTTTGCTTATTTTTCATAGAAAACATCTGATGATCATTGGGCAACTCCTCAACCAATCTGTCTGAAAGATAGGAACATTTAGATAACATTGCAATCACCTAATCTGAAACACAATCCCCATCTCCATTTTCTCCCTATCATTGTGAATAACTCTTCTTTTGATCATGAAAAAAGGAAGAAAAGAAGTGTTGGCATGGTGAATTGTGTAAGCCCACAACTCTAAATGTTATTTCAAAAATGTGAGAATTCTCTTATTCTCAGTTGTGTTTCCTAATTAATAATAGAGTGAATAGCCAATTTCAAACTTTTCTGGCAAAGTATTTCTCTCAAAATTGTGTGTGTGTGTGTGTGTGTGTGTGTGTGTGTGTGTGATTGGGAAAGGTAATAACAGGCTCATATGAAAGAATACATGAAAATAAAAGATAATATTATAGGTAAAACATCTGCATTTTGATCCCCTTTAATATTAGTCTTTAAAGTATCAAAATGCCTGGTTGGAAAGCAATAGTATTTGATCATCAACAAGCTGGCATGGGCTTTTCAACCCGTGCAATCAATGATTTATTTTAACATTGCGTGAAAACCACCCTTATTTATGACAGGGCTACAAAGACTACAAAAAAACAACACAATGGTTGCAACAGAATATACCAAACAAAATTGAATTAAAGGCAGAGAGAATGAGAGATGTGTGTGAGAGTTATATTTTAACATACATAAGTTAAAACAAGGAAAAAAGTAATGAAAACAAATGATAAGTAATTCTAGTTTTAACCTGACAAAGAATGAAATAAAGTGGTACAATAGTCCTTAAGCAACATTAAGAGGTATATTAAATTTGATTTTAAAATGTGGTAATATCAAACCACCTCATTGAATGCCTCCATAGATGCTTACGTTGCTTCCATTGCCTCTTTGACAATGATGTATGGCCTCACATGACAGTGTTTGCAAATATTACTCCGTTTAAAGGTGTCTTCCTAATTCTAAGATGGTGTACTTATAACTTTAGAAACCAGAATAGGGGAAAATTGGTGACACCACTAACATCATGCAAAAATATGTAATACTGGCATAGCTTTTTATCAAGCTATATGATAAGGCTACAACACTGTGGTTATTGGTTATAGATGTTGCTGCTGAGGTGGGAAGCAAGCTTCTAGCTGCAAATCAGTTATTTGGAGTGAAAAGGTATATTAGGTGATTTTTTTTAGTTTAAGATGTATTTCTGTGTGTGTGAGAAAGCATTTTTTAACACTCTATAGAAGTGTCTATCCCAGTCCTAGATATAACAATAAAAGATAAAAATAAATGCTACGAATAACTAAGAGTTGCCTAATTTAGATGTAGCAAGATAACTTGCCTGGCTGGCGGCTCACACTTGTAATTAATCCCAGCACTTTAGGAGGATGAGGTGGACGGATCGCTTGAGCTCAGGAGTTGGAGACCAGCCTGGGTAACATGGAGAGACCCTGTCCCTACAAAAAAAATTTTTAAAAAATTTAGCCGGGAGTAGTGGCCCGCACCTGTAGTCCCAGATACTTGAAAGGCTGAAGTGGGAGGATCACTTGAGCTGGAGAGGTGGCGGTTGCAGTGAGCTGAGATTGTGTCACTGCACTCCAGCCTGGGTGACAGAGTGAAACCCTGTCTCAAAATAATAATAATAATAATAATAATAATAATAATAATAATTAATTAAATAGCAAGATAACTTGCAAAAATGGAAAAGAGAAAAAGAGACATTGGGGTAGGAAGAGACTACTGTGAATCTCTAGGTAAGGAACAAATGAACACAATTGACTTAGAATGGACTGGTAAAAATGGAGGGGAGAGGATAGAATTGAGAGGCATTTCGGGGGGACAAATAGGATGTACTTCCTCACTACCATGTTGGTCAGTCAGCTGATGAAGGTGAGGGAGAAATGATGATGACGGATGTTTTCTTCTTTGCCGGAGAGGACCATGCTGCCATTAAACAAGTTAATGTAAAGGAAAAAAACTCTGCAAAAAATATCTTATTTGTAGAAAGGCTTTCTAATTTTCTCTATTATTTAATTTTACTATGCTTGCTGCCCATGTGGGGCCTGAACTGCATTATATTTAAACAACTCCACAGTTGTTTTTAATTATTATTATTATTATTATTATTACTATTATTATTATTATTATTATTATTTTCAAGACGGAGTCTTGCTATGTCACCCAGGTTGGAGTGCAGTGGCCTGATCTCGGCTCACTGCAAGTTCCGCCTCCCGAGTTCACGCCATTCTGCTGCCTCAGCCTCCCGAGCTGCTGGGACTACAGGTGCACGCCGCCACGCCCAGCTAATTTTTTTGTATTTTTATTAGAGACGGGGTTTCACCGTGTTAGCCAGGATGGTCTCGATCTCCTGACCTCGTGATCCACCCACCTCAGCCTCCCAAAGTGCTGGGATTACAGGCGTGAGCCACCGCGCCCGGCCTTTTATTTTTATTCTAATATAAAATGGTACTATTCATGCTGTATTCTGCTTTATTCTCTACTAATGGTTACTAATATTATTTAAATTATATCTCTTGTCAAAACTTTCTCATTAATAATGTTTAGAAGTAATTTTATAAATATATCATATGTAAATTATAATTAGTTTTAAAGTTTTTTTGTATATATAACTTTGGCTAGTATATGTACCAAAATTAGGCTTGACCCATGTAAAAAGGACACAGGTTAACTCAAACCTTCTGGCATTTTTTTTCTTTTTTTTTGTAACAAACACCCATAACAATAAGTAATAAAGATAAAGAAAATGTTAATAAAATATTTAAAAGATGTAACTATTGTAAAAGACATTTTAAAATCTTTCCTATGCATCTGAGTTCAACTAATGTTTTCAACAAATATTTTTGAAGAAGTCTTAACACCTTCAAGTTGTTAAGTCTATATTCATCAACTATCTTCTAACCTTTACTAGCAATTAATCTTATTTTCTATTTTTTAAGCGGGTCCCACAGGATAATAGAATGTTAATGCAGAACAGGGCCTTAAAAATATTTTGGTCTGAATCCCACCTATGAAGAAAATGACACAAATATAAGTCAACTCATGGAAGAACCTAACAATAAACTTAACAACCCACCCTAATCCTTTCTCTTGACTCTGAGTTCTCCACCTGTGCCAGGCTATGTTTCCATTCTCTGTGTCTTATTTTAAAATTGAAATCTTGGGAGTAGTGATATTTGAAAATATACAAATAAATTATAGCATCTAGAACCTCATTTTATATTTTAAAATTTCCAGTTCTTGCTATGTTCACCCATAACGATGATTCTCTCATATAAGGCACTGTTAAATTTGGCCTAAAAAACTAAAGACAGTTCTTATTGTTCTTTTATGGATTTATATTAAAATGAAATGTAGGCATTTTTATTCCTCTTAATGACATGTTATATTGGTAGTGAATAAGCACAATTACAGCCAAATATGAGTACGTCTCCCAGAGAAATCACATTGAACAAACTGCTGCATCACCAAGAGTAAATCTGACTAACCTGATTTTACAAAACCATCATCATTTCACCTAATAATTCCACCCCAGTTAGCTCAACTTACTTTAACTAATTTAGTGAAACATTGAAAGAAAAATAGGAAGGCATGTAAAGGATAGTTTAATTACCTACTATTCACCCCATCGAAGGAGGTATTCTCACCGTAGGATTATGGGGATGGAGACACACACACCTAACAGTGTATAGATGGATGAGAATGACAGCAATATTTGTTAGTCAAATATTCTCACAGCCTGGGGGAAGGCCCTGCACAACAAAAAAGGCCACATTGGGGTTGCACTCAGGGACAGAGGAAACAACCTCCCACTAGCGGATGTAATTGAATTGTTTGAGTAAATCTGTGGGGCTGGGACTGGAATTGAAACCTCAATACTTAGGGATAAAAAGGAATTGTGCTAGGCGGGGTGGCTCACACCTGTAATCCCAGCACTTTGGGAGGCCAAGGTGGGCAGATCAACTGAGGTCGGAAGTTTGAGACCCGCCTGACCAACACAGAGAAACCCCGTCTCTACTAAAAATACAAAATTAGCCGGGCATGGTGGCTCATGCCTGTAATCCCAGCTACTCTGGAGGCTGAGGCAAGAGAATCGCTTGAACCTGGGAGGCGGAGGTTGCAGTGAGCTGAGATCATGCCATTGCACTCCAGCCTGGGCAACAAGAGTGAAACTCCATCTCAAAAAAAAAAAAAAAAAAAAAGGAATTGTGCTTGGGGATCCCTAATAAAGACAATTCTTTGGCTAGGGGAATCTTATCTTTGGGAGCAGAGTGAAGAAGGCTTAGGGCATTTGAGGCTCTCTTGGTTATACAAGATATCAAGGCAGCACATAATATTGGGCCTTAATTTTAGACCCCCATTAGCTCCTTGAAGCCTTGGCATCAGTTTATATCTTTGTGATAAGTAGATTGCTATGCAGTGGAAGAAACTCCCTAGGATGTGAAGTAGGCACTTGACCAGGGTAAAGAGGGCTATGCATGAAGTAATCTTCAAAAACATAAACTTTAGTGGTATCCTTTTTATGGCCAATAAAGAAAAGTGAGGGACCTGTGTGGCATTATTGCAGAGAATACAGATGTGGATTTAAACTAATCTATACCTATGGCAATACCAGGGGTTCTATTTGCCAGTTAGTAGCTTAAATAGGAATTCTTTGAGGATGGCATTATGCCTCTTAATTAAACTAGCGGCTCGAGGTCTTGAGGGTACATGGAAGTTGCACTGAGTACCTTACTCAAGAGCCCAACATTGTCTATTTTAAGAAGTAAAGTAAATGCCTTAGTCACTATCAATAATGTTTACAACTTTAAAGGAATAAGAGGTGTTCTGGTGAGGCCTTGTATTGTGGCCCTAGTACATATAGTGATATCTGTTGCCTTGATTTTTATATTGTGTCTCTGTGGGGCAAGAGATTCTCAGGAATCTTTACCTCCAAGGGGTCAATTCTTAGACAACATATTGAGAGTTCATGAAAATGTACAGAAGAAGCCATTTCCTGTCCTGGACTTTTGGTGCAAAACTGACTGTCTTATGTTTGGCCAGTTATGCTGACCTTTTTATCCTGTTGTTTATCAGGGACATCCTGACTAATGGATGAAAAGCAGTAAAGGTCCATTGAGCTCCATCATGTATAATGGTGGTCATTGATCCATAAAGTATATCAACATGTTCCCTCAGTTGTTCCCAGGTTGTCAAGAGCTCCACAAGTGAGTTGATCTCTTCTAGCACTGAGGCATCAGAGAAGGGGCTGAGGAGAGGTGAGGCCACTTGGTCTTTCAGGGAGAGTATATTAGAGGATCAAGTTCGGTGCCAGTCTGTTGAAGGAAATCCTAGGTAGCTGTGCAGAGCTTATGGAATGCTGATTTCATGACCCAAGACATAATGGCCAGCTTGGTATGGAGGATCAGAAGCTCAATGTCTATGAGAGTTCTGTATTTCCAGAAAAGCCCAGTATGTGGCCAAAAATTGCCACTGTAAAGATGTATGGTGTAGGGCCAAGGAGAAGTCCACTGTCAGCTTATGGCCATGGTATAGAGATAGTATAGACATTACAGGAGCAATGAGAAGTGGTCCAATTTTATATCTTTATTTCAATTTTGTTCTCTCCCCTTGTATTCAAGATTCCTTCCTTCTTTTTCTTTCTTTTTTGTTTTTCCCCTCTATACTCTGCTCATAGTTATAAACTTTTTGCTTTAGAAAGCCTCAAATAATTATCATAAAGGTTAGGGGCCTTTTCCAAGGAAATGGTTGCATCATAGGATTTAAGAGCCCCAGACTTAAGTTGGGTTTTAAATAACACCTATGCTATGCCATAGGGGTGTCATGGGTATTTTACCCTATCAAGCTGAGAATCATGATCTTTGTTGCAACAGAGAAACAGACAACATTTTGGCACAATGGAAGTGTTCTGGGGTCATGACCCAGAGGTCATTCTCAAAACCATTGTCTACTATAGGCATGCAGCCTTCCTCTTTTTTTAATCTCTCTGTTCTCTCTGTACAAATTTCCTCAGAATATTTTGAATTTCTTAACATGTAAAGTTTAATAGTTACAGCTTTCAGTCCGTTTCCTGATCACTCTTGGTGCAGACCTTCTGTGTGGTTGAGGGTAAAAATGTTGGGAGCCTAGCAGTCCACCTGTGGACAGCTATCTCATTCCCCAGGGAATGCCACTCAAATCTCCTCAGTGCTGGAGTCTGCATCTAGTAAGGTCATTTTGACTGTGAGGCAGGCATGGCAGTGAAGTACTTTTGCATGCTGGTAAACAGCAACACTAAGAAAAGCCTAAGAATTTTGGGTAGGGTTTTTCATTGGGAGAGCAGTTGCATTACCTCTCCACTGTTTTAAGACGGGCTGGCAAGAAATGCTCCTAAACTCTCTCTCATTATTTTTCCATCAGTGCCTTGACCATGGGCTGCCATAGATGTTTACCTTTATACCCCTGGGAGTCAGGAGGATGCATGGGATGCAATGAGGGAAACAGTTACACAGGAAATGGGCAAGGTGGCTACCCTTGCCTGAACGGCGGCTCTTGTTAGGCAACCTGGGAGCCATGCTTAATTCTTTCTAGGGTATCGGTCCCCTCCCTTTCTACAAACCTGACAACGTGTCATCCCATAGTCCTCCTGGGGGTGTACAGTCACAGTTAACATCCACATGGCTGTCCCAAGCAGCTAGTGAAGGTCACTACGTTAGATGCTGTAAGCAGAGAGCTCTAGCTTACCCTTGATAGGTAGGACTCAAGCACCAGCCTACCTTTAAGGTGCTGTGTTGTCACTACTTTTATGGGCAGGAGACTCAGGGACACTTGCCAAAAACAGACCAAACCCAACCATCAGTCATGCCCATGTATAGTCAATTAACAAGAATTCTTCTTTTGGAGAAAAACAAGAGCTTCCTAGACAGGGAAGAGAGGAAACAAAGTGGTGCTGGAACCAATTAGTGGTTTGTTCCAATTTGGCCTTCCCAGTATCATGAAACCACTTAGTTATCCAAAAGCAGTGAATTAAAGTTGACCAGGTGTCCTTGGTCATGGTTGTACCATCCTTTAAGAGGTTATTTTACTTGCCTCCTATTCACTCTATTGGTGAGGGAGGGATTCCTGCCCTGGGATTATTGGGATGGAGAATCTGCAACTGGACACTGGACAAATGGCATCTACAGCAATTTATTAGTCACATCTTCTCACAGCCTGGGAGAGGAGGACACTGCATTCTGCACAGGACCACTTGGAGTGTGTACTTGGAAACAAAGGGAACAACCAGGGACTGTGGGAGAAAAGCTTTGTGTTTCAAGAAGTGCACCCTGGTTCCAAGGGGATGATGTGATTAGCTTATTTGAACAATTCCCTGTGTTAGCAGGGAACTGAAACCCACTATCAGGAAACCCAGGATAAGCAGGGCCTGTGCATGGTCTCCTTGATAAGGAGGATGGTTTGGTTAGGAGACCTCATCTTCTGGAGCAGAGTGGGAAGGGAACTTGAAGTTAGGCTTTTTGAGGCCTTCCTAGTGACGCCAACACATAACAATGGGCCTTAATTTTAGGCCTCAGACACTAAGGGTGAACAGTATCTAGCATGAAAAAGACCAAAACTCTGTGAACACTTGAAGAATTAAGGACTTGGTCAGGCTTGACTCATGTCAAATTTTTCTGTTGTGAAGCTTTGATTCTTTGAAAGAGTTTCCATATCGTCTTCTAAGGGAAGTGGACCATTTTTGTAAATAAACTTTTCATAAACACAGGATCCCCCAGCTCCTTTGTAAACTTGTGAGAGAATCTCTTTGTGATTAAGGTCTGAAATTTGGTATTGTGGAACTTGACGGTCCATTTTCATCCATGTTGCAGTCACTTTGTGAGCTCTTTCAATCTTCAAATCCAAGCCTTTCAACTTTTGGAAATTTTCTCAAATTATTACTCTCATCATTTCTTCCCTTATTTTTCTTCATCTTTTTGGCTCCTTCGTTATTTGGATGCTGAACCTCCTCTACTTGTCTGTCAATTTTCATTACTTTTTCTTCTCTATATTTTAAAAATATACTTTCTAGGGTATTTTCTTATGTATCTATTCCAAACCTCTACTGAGTTTTTATTTTATTACTACTATTATTATTGTTTCTTGAATTCTAAGAGTTCTTCTTGTTTTCAGAATGTTCCTCTTTTAAAGTATTTTTAACTCTTTGCATATGCAATACTTAATTTTATCCAATATATTGATGACAGTTTATTTTTCATTTTATTTTTTCCGAATAGTGTCTCCTAGAATTATGTTAGAGACTTTTCTTAATGTCTTATGATACTTGGCTGTCAGCTCATAATTAAGAATGTAGGTACTCTAAAACGCTGAAGATAAATTCTGTCCCTGTGTGGAGGGCTTTTTGAGTATGTTTGTCTGTAGGGTAATCTGGGTAACATTTAATTGGGGAACTCCTGGTCAATATGTTTAGACATATTTTTCTTCCTGGTCTTGTTAGATAACCAAGAGAAATATTTTCAGGTCTTCTGCCTGGAGGTGTAAGCCTGGGTACTTGAATTCTGAAAACTAATTGGGAAAAAAAAATCTAGACGACCCAAGATCCAAACTTCTTTGTATGACGATTGCACATTAAACTGTGCCTGCTATTTCCTAATGTAGGAGCTCTCTGTTTCAACCTCCTTAGAGAATAATAAATCTCGTGTCTCTTAACCGGAGGGAATAGTTGATCACCTATATGTGCACAGTTGATGAGGACATCTGGGAGGTCTAACTGCTTCTTAATAACATTTTTGGTCCTTTTTATTAGGCTTATTTTTACCCCTACTTCAGAACTAATTTGTGCTGTCAATTACTAAGCCTTGGGAATTTTTTGTGGGATAAACCAGGTTTCTTCTTTACACTCTTAGCTTCCAGCTAAGGTTTTAAAACTTTTGCAGTTACTATGTCAATTATAACTTTTTATCTACTTCCAAACATTCAGAATGTTGTCATAGTTATTTCCTCAATTGTTTGTCTTTTATTTGTCATTGTAGCTTTTTCATTAATTTTTTTTCACATTCATAAAGTTTTAGGAGGAAGAAAGGTTAGTGCATTAATTGACCTCTCCCCTCTCTGTAAATGGGAGCTTGAAAATAAACTATGGACATAAAAAGAAAAGTCTTATAAGCATAATGCAGAATGTCATGAGGAAATTTGATCTTACATTATTGAGAGTTTGAATGTGGGATTCTCTTCAGTAGATTTTTTATTGCTGTTGTTAGGGCTATATAGAAAAGCACTGACATGTTTGAAATTGAATCACATTTTGGAATTCATAATTAAAATTTAAAATATTAATTGGTTTATTTCATTACATGTCAATAAACAAAATAATAAAATATGTAATTCATTTTTCCATATGCCACTATTTTAATAACTTATTTTTACTTTTTTTGTAATATCATTATCTTGAAATGATATCTAAAGTAATTTTAAATCAATAATGTTAAAACCAAAGGGGTAATATGCATTGTTAGATTTGTTATAGATTAGAATAGCGATTATTTATTCAATTGTTTCTAAGGTTATTATATTATATTATAATATAAAACTCAATATCCCTTTTTGGTCATTGCATTGGTTTATTTACCATATTACTCTATTTTGAATAGTGGCCTGAAATTAGTGTCCAAATAGTATCAGGCAACTAGCAAGCTTCAATACTTGAGGTCAATTTAATTACACTGTGCATGACAGAAACTAGGCCATTTGGGCATTGCCTTTGCCACCAGCAATTGACACCTGAGTGTTAATGAGCTGATAATTAAGAGCTGGCACATACAGACACATTTTACTGTTTGGGACTAGGATAACCATATGCTGCATAACTTCTGTGCTAAGTACTTTGTTAGCTCCAGAATTTACACAATTATATTTGTGAGGTTTTTTTTTCAAATCTCAATTTTTCATGTTTAAAAAAAGATAAAAATTGTTACTCAAAAAATGTAAGTAACTGTACTCATCAATTACAAGTTATGAAACTTTCTAAAACTAGCAAGATTATATTTGGAGAACAATATATTTGGGAAAAAAGACTGCAGAATTTGTGTAGTAGAATTACTTTTAGTTTAAAACCACACTGGCAGAAATTGCATTTTGAAATGTCTTTTGTAATATAAAAAAGTACCTAAAGCAATTTAACATGACTGTGTTTATGTAGGGTTGACAGCCTCTGTGATGGCCCATAATGATTTTCACATCCTAACATTGACAGCCTTGAGTAATACCTCTCCCCTGAATGTAGGTGGGATTAGTAAACCACCTCTAAAAAAATCAAAGTGATAAAAGTGAAGTGATTTCACACTTGACGTTAGGGTATCAAAATGCTATTGTTTCCATTTTGAGGAACTTCTTATATACTGTCTCATTATTTTCTGGATTCCTTGCAGAGCTATTGTGGAGGCAGCTATGTGGAGAGACACATGTGGCACAAGATCAAGGGCTGTCAACAACCACATGAGTGAGCTTGGAAACAGACTCCCAAGTTGAGCATTCAGATGAGACCACAGCCCCTGCTGACAGTTTGACTGCAACCTTTGAGAGTCCTTAGCCAGAGGCACCCAGTTAAGCTGCACTAAAATTTTTGAACCACACAGATTGTGAGATAATAAATATTTGTGGTTTTATGTTGTGAGGTTTTGGGGTATATTGCCATGTGGCAATAAATAGTTAATACATTATGTAGGTGAGAATCCTATTGTCTGATACAGTAATATGAAGTATTGATTTTTCTGGTGTGATGTGGCCATTTTCAAAACCAATATGTATAATGTACACACCCTGTTGCTTTACCTTCGTCTTCAATTTTCAGTTCTTGCTTACTCCTCTTTCCCTGACCTTGCACACAAAAAATCATCCCCACTATTTTTGGGATTGATCTACTGGCTTAAAAAAAATAAAGCTGTACTTACCAGATGAAACATGTACTAACTTTAGTGAATTTTAGTTGTGGGAATTACTTCTAATTTTCTTCTTTGAAACAGTTTGCTTTTCCATAGAATCCTCTGTAGGACGTATAGCCTTTTATATGCAGATTGGTATAATTATGCTTTGAAATAGCTCTGAATTCCCTGTAGCTTAAACTGAGAACATGAAAGGCCAAATGTTATGTCTAACTGAAGGATATAAAAGTGCACATACATCAATCCAAAATGAGATATAGAAATGAACGGCTCTTCACACAGTGATGTCAGTTTTTGACAGATTATTGAAGGGTCTTTATAACTGCAGAGATTGCCATGGGTAGCATGAAAACTCTGCCTGGGGATAGCCTTATCAGCTTGTATTTTGTATTTCTTCAGTACTGAAAGGTGAGTAGATGTTAAGCGAAACAAGAGAAATACTCTGTGACAAAAGCATTAACTCTCGTTCCAAAAATGACATCTGGTTTCAAATGGCAAAACACAGTGCGATCTAGTGATGGAATCATCTACCCAATCTGTCACTCTAGAGATGGCAGCCTAGATGAGGTGCTTATATTTTAAGAAGTCGATAGAAAACCAACATGGCAATCTTCACCTACATAGTGATCCCAGTGACAAACAAAGGCCTATTCTGCACAGGAGGGGCGATTATTCAGCCAGTGACAGACACATCAAGAGTATTTAAAGCACCCACATTCTTTCTTACCAACAGCAGGAAGATTTAAAAAAATGGGTTTTTGTATGTTCACAACTTGAAATCAATACTATGCTTATTTAAAAACAGATTATAAAGAAACTCAACTTTATATTGGAAGAGTACATAGTGTTAACTTTTAATATCCCATAATTATCATACCTATTTTGAGTTAAGTAAAAATATATCTTAGAATTGTTCTCTTGCATCAGCTATTCATAGAGAATCCATTTTTTTTCTTACAGTGTATATCCTCTCCTGAAATTATATCCAAACAAAGGAATTGAATATCCACATTATCTGGGTTTGTCAGTAAAAAGAAATATTTTTTAAATTTAAGACAAAAAACCCTTAATTCTGGTGTTTCTAGAATGTGCAGATATTAAGTAGGTACAATTGAAATCAGTATAAGAGGAGGGCAAAAATTTTTTGAACAAAGCATACACTTTGAAACTAATGCTGATTCAAAGGGAATTGTGTATGTGAGGAATACAATACTTAGTTATTCATTCTAAGCCAGGAAATTCTACCATGTTTTGCACTTTGCAAACTTTACCACTTATAATCTGTAAAGCATGTATTGGAAAGAAATGATGAAAACTCAAGTAATAGTCAAGGAAAACATAATTGTTAATTAGCTCTGACACTACAATTTTTCAAAAAATCCAATCTACTAAAATGCTTTTTTCCTGAAATAATTAACATAAATTTTTTAAAAATTCAAAAGTTTCAAACCTATGCCTTAAGGTATACATTAGGTTAGTGCCACTTAATTAATTGATACTTTTGGAAATACACAGACAATATATAATGGATAACATGATGACTCTAAAATTATTACAAACTGAACTCTCACTTTACTACTTAAAATCATGTGACCTTGGTGAAGTTTTGCTAGTTAACTCAGAGACAAAAATTAGTTCTTATATCTGAATTAGGGTCATGAATTAAATTTTAATCAGAATGATGTTAGACAAAATAATTTCCATTTTATAGGGAGAATCTTTTATGATCTGGGGGCATACTCATTGCATGTATTCATGTGGAGTTCCCTGTTCAATGGAAGTTCTGGATAGAAATAAAAAAGCAAAATAAACATTTAAAATCTTATAATACTCTTAATGACTTATTAAAATTGTTCCAGTCATTGATGATGGGCAGTAGTAGTTTCTAGATATTATCAGCAGGCATGACAAGTCATCTCTTCTTAAACAAGATCTTTAGAGCTCATTTTATTCCAATGAATAAAGGGAATTAAAGAGCATCTCTACCATGAATTTTTATACAAGTCCATACCAAGATATGCACCAAAAGTAATAAAAAATGTTTTGTAAGAAAATGCAACTCCAAATTGTGGCACAAACCATGACAAGCATATAAGATTCATTTAAAAATAAAAACTAAGATAGTTCTAAAGTTACAGTGAAAGCTAATACTTATTGAGTGCTCCTTCGGTGACAAGTACTATGCTGGTCATCACTACACTTACATGAGAAAGGTACTATCTTTAATCTTTTAAAAATGATAAAGATGTGAAGATCATGTACACTTTATTTCTTAATTATAAGGCTAGTGAGTATTGGAGCTGAGAAGTGACCTCTGACCAAATGACACCTGCTGTTAGTTCCCTTAAGTGGTATGGAAAATAAGACAAAATAAAATGAAGCAATTCATCACTTAATGTTTATTAAAAAGGTCTAAAATACATATCTTATGTACTGAATTTTAAAGAGAAATTATTTTAGATACATAAATCCCTCCCATATTTAAACCAAATAGCTGTGTTATTTAAACAAAGTTCATGGTTCAAATAATTGAAATGATCAACAGACTTTAAGACTTAAGTTGTAGGTTTTATGCTTTTTTCTACATCTCCAAACTATGACAGTATATCTCATATTATATTGTGTGTGTGTGTGTGTGTGTGTGTGTGTGTGTGTGTGTGTGTGAGAGAGAGAAAAAAATGAGTTTAGGATAGATGGTAACATTATTGGTAATGAATAGAATAGTATACAATGAAGCACAGTAGAATACATTGGAATAAAATCAGATCTAAAGATCTTGTTTAAAATTCTCAAATGTATGCTCCCTAAGCCTTCAGTTCCACTAGATTGAGGGTGGGCATGGAGGTGAAGTATTGGAATTTTTATTTTCAAATGGATTTGCATCCTATATCAATTCCTGAAAGATGTACAATTCCTTAGCTCCAGCCTGGAGACAGAGTGAGACTCCATCTCAAAAAAAAAAAAAAAACAAAAAACAAAATCAAAAACAAAAAACAAGAAAAGTCTTGAGTCCTTCAATTAAAAAAAATCTTATTTAACATTTTTTAGCCTATTATTCCTAACCACTGATCATGAAACTATTTTTTATAAAATTAGCAGCCACAAATGATAGTTACGAGGGACATACTTTAGGAAACGTTGATTTATTGTTCCACATATTTTGCAGAAGTGGAAAATTAGGCCCACGGGAGTGTGACTTAAAGTCCTGTGGCAACCTAGTAGCAGAATTGGAATTGAAATACACAAAGCTGACACGTTGTATGCATACATCAAACTCAGGACATGAGTTTAGGATAGATGGTAACATTATTGGTAATGAATAGAATAGTATACAATGAAGCACAGTAGAATACATTGGAATAAAATCAGATCTAAAGATCTTGTTTAAAATTCTCAAATGTATGCTCCCTGAGCCTTCAGTTCCACTAGATTGAGGGTGGGCATGGAGGTGAAGTATTGGAATTTTTATTTTCAAATGGATTTGCATCCTATATCAATTCCTGAAAGATGGAAGTAGAGGTCCTGGGTTGAGATCTGTCTTCTAATACTTTAAATCCGTATGACTTTTGAAAAATCTCTTAACCAAACTGTGCCTTAGTTTTTTATTTTGTAATTTGTGACTAATTATTTAACTTTCCTCAATGTATTATCAGCACGTTCCATGGATAATGCATATAAAATTTATATGTATCATGGCTACAATAAATGTTGTAGTATGTTATATATGTTTAGACAGATTGTAGAAGAATTATTACAAGGTACTAAATGCTCTACATAGTTCCTTTTCATTAATTTTGCAAGTAAGCTCTAGGATCTTATTTGTGTATTGGTAGGAAGCAAGAAATGGTACTGCTGAGAATTCACCTTAAGAAAAAAAAACCTTTGGACATTATCATTAAAGAATTACATGTCTGACAGGTGAGAAATAATTAAAATTGTGACACGGCTTTGGAATTTCTCCGTGTGGGTTCAGATCCTGGATATATCACTCACTAGTTCATTAATGGAAGTAGCAACAACTATACTTATGAGATTTTTGGAGGATTATTGTATTAGTCCATTTTCACACTGCTAAGAAGAAATAAACGAGACTGGGTAATTTATAAAAGAAAGAGATTTAATTGACTCACAGTTCCACCTGGCTTGGGAGGCCTCAGGAAACTTACAATCATGGCGGAAGGGGAAGCAAACATGTCCTTCTTCACATGGCAGCAGGAGAGAGAAGTGCAGAGCAAAGTGGGGAAAGCCTCTTATAAAACCATCAGATCTCATGAGAACTCACTCACTATCATGAGAACATCATGGGGGAACTGCCTGTATGATCTAATCACCTCCCATGAGGTCCCTGTCCCAACACATGGGGATTACTCTTCAAGATGAGATTTGGGTGGGGACACAGAGTCAGACCATATCGATTATAAATGTCTCTCTGTAAATTATAACTTGTAATAAGGTGCTAAAATCTTATTTCTTCATCCTTATTACATACTTAACAATGATTTATATTTTAGAAGTCAAAGGTAGTCAGATCACCTACCAGGGACTTAATGATGTCAGTGTTTTTGTATTTCCTATTTGAAGACTAACGTGAGAATAATATTTGAAGGAAGGAGACAGATTGTTTAAAGTACATGAAAATAATACAAATTGCTTATCAGTTTAATAATATTTGACTTTAGAAAAGAATCTAAAAAGACCATAATTATAAGAATGTTAAAACACCTTTAAAACCTCTTTTTAATAACATTCATGTTTTTTCCAGAAAAATATTGCTTATCTTCACTTGTTTCTTCTTTTCTCTACATCAGATAAAAGATAGTACAAATTTTATATCAACTATGTACACTTTAAGTGTCATATTTGAAGTTTACCTAACTATGCCTTGAATACCTGTGTAAGAGGAGCTTTAGCTAAGTATTCTAACAATTTGTAATTATATTGACTTTTGTGAAATTATTTTCTTTTATCAATATATACAAGTTTTATCTACTTGCTGAATAGTCTTCATGTGGTAGCCAGGTGACCTGGGAACACCTCAGTAACATAAAAATTCATCTTATAAATTAACTTTTAGCAAAGAAATTATTTATAATCAGGGATTGTCAAAAATAATGTTCTTCAGTCATATGTTTTGAATAATACAGATGAAAATATAATCAATGCCTTATCTTTCTCCATATATGGATAAAACACATTTTATTGATTTTACTGTTGTAGAACATTCTTTTTTTAGATAATTTATATAGAAGTACAATGAATGCAAACATATAATTTATTTTTATTTCACACTTCAATATATTTTAGCTCTCTTGATCAGAAAATGAGAATTTTAAATAAACATTCTTTTACAAAGTTGGGTCCAGGAAATACATGGTCACATTCTGTACAGTCAGCCTTCTGTATCCATGGGTTCCACATCTATTGATTCAATCAACTGTAATGAAAATATTTTTAAAAACCAAAACAATAAAAATAATAAAACAACAAAAATACAAATTTTAAAATACAGCATAACAACAATTTATACAGCATTTATATTGTATTAGGTATTATAAGTAATCCAGAGGTAATTTAAAGAGTATGAGAGGATGTACATAAGTTATACAAATTACCACACCTTTTATACAAGGGACGGGATTATCATTGGATTTTGGTATTCATGGGGGTCCTGAAACCCACCCCCCACAAATACCAAAAGATGACTGTATATACTGAGTGTGGGTATATGTATACACACATATTTTATGCACACATATATTTCCATTTTTGTATATATATGTACACATATATATTTGTTATGTAATGATATTTTACCGAATTATCTAAAAGTATATCTATTGCTCTTCAGAAATAATGTGAAAAATAATACTGTTTGTTTAAAAACAGATTATTAGTAAGTAATTGATTTGCATGTAATCAAGGCCACTAAGGAGCTCTTGAAGACACTGATAAATTATATTCATCACTTATTCTTAATTAAAAAGGAGATTGAAATAACACCTTGGAGGAGAGAAAGGAATTAATGTAAGCACTGGAAGAAATTATGATTTTTTTCTTTTATTACAGAAAGGCTTTCTAACATGATTTACCTGATTAATATTTGATGTGTGCAATTATCAGTAATAGCAAGTCACGTAACAACTTTTTTTTTTTTTTTTTTTTTTTTTGAGATGGAGTCTCCCTCTGTCGCCAGGCTGTAGTGCAGTGGCGCGATCTCGGCTCACTGCAACCTCCGCCTCCCGGGTTCAAGCAATTCTCCTGCCTCAGCCTCCCGAGTAACTGGGACTACAGGCGAGCACCACCACGCCCAGCTAATTTTTGCACTTTTAGTAGAGACGGGGTTTCACCATGTTGGCCAGAATGGTCTCAATCTGTTGACCTCGTGAGTTGACCTCAATCGTTGACCTCGGCCTCCCAAAGTGCTGGGATTGCAGGAGTGAGTAACAACTTTTTCAAGTTTGAATAGCTCTAGTATGCATATATTCTAAATTCAAGAGACAAGGAGTTTTAAGCAAATTTGATAATCTGAAAGATATTCTCTCAGTAACTCTATAGTTAGTGACATTTCATTGTTGATTATCACATATACTTCTATTCTCCTTTCTTTCCTTTAAATTGTTAAAATGTTTCCATTACTATTTTCAGGCCTGCCTCACCCACGCTATTCAGTGGATAATCTTGCTTTCTAGTTCAGAGAAATAATTTAGGCATCAGAAAAGATTCTATAACATCCTCTAAGACACTCATAATCTCACCGTCATCTGCAGCCATCCTTATATTTTAAGAGAAGCATTTTTTGGTCGTTATTTATTTTGTCAGATTACAAGCAACAGAACATCCACCCACACTGGATTAAGAGAAAAGGACAACGTTGGCTCAGGTAACTGGAAGGCTCCTGCATGAGTTCATTCAAGGATCCAAATGAGAAGACTAATTTTGAAATTCCAAGATTCATCTATTCATTAGTCCTTTGAATCCCATTTCTTCCTGCTTGCCTCCTTGGATGTCCATCAGTCATCTCCTCCTTTTCTTTATCACTTCCAGTGTATTTTCCCTCAGTACATAAACATGTCCAGTCTATCCAAACTTACATATCCTTCCACAACATCTAAATTCATTGTTATGTGTAGTCTCTCCCTTTGTCTTAAGATACCCTAGCTCAAACACTCAGACACCTTTTCACTTCAAATCTTGTTTTAAAAGCCAGCTCCTCAAACTCAATATATCTGAAAATTAAAACCTCACTTTGAATCTCCTTAGAACTTGTCCTCTTTGCTTTAGATTTATCTTTGTCACAGAAGTGAAACAGGTCCCCTCTAAAGCTAGCACATGCATAATTCAATTGCTAACTATAATTGGCTTTTAGTTCTGCCCACGTTTTCAGAGCTGGTAAGCTTCTCTTCCAACTCAAATGAGTCAAGTCCTCCCCTTACTGAAGGCATTATTTGCATGAACATGAAACCATGATCTTAATTTAAAAATCTTTAAACTTAGAAGATAGAGCCAGTTGTGTTGAAGATGGGGTTGTGACAAGAAGATATTTGGATATTTGGGTTACTATTCTAACTATTAGCGTTCTACTTTCATATGTAAGATATCAAATAACATTTTAAATGATTTTCACTGCTAATATTGCTTGAACACCGCACTGCCTTACTGGTTAAAACATAAACTACTTCATTGTGTATAAAACATTCTCAATTACTTTTTGCCCAGAGAATCCCTGTTAATTCTTCACTCCTTAATGGGTCATATGCTAATTTTCTAGACCTGTCTTTGACTTATCTAGATTTGATGAAAACTATTGTTATTTGAAAATGAATCAAAGAATGACTTTTGGCTTCAGGGAGTTTATTATCTAGTGACATCTAAGAACCATATACAAGCTGGGCACAGTAGCTCATGCCTATAACGTCAGAACTTTGGGAGGCCAAGGCAGGAGGATAATCTGAGGTCAGAAGTTCGAGACCAGCCTGGCCAACATGGTGAAACCCCGTCTCTACTAACAATACAAAAATTAGCTGAGCATAATGGCGCATGCCTGTAATCCCAGCTACTCAGGAGGCTGAGGCAGGAGAATCTCTTGAACCCGTGAAGTGAAGGTTGCAGTCAGCCAAGATCGTGCCACTGCACTCCAGTCTGGGTGACAAGAGCAAAACTCCATCTCAGGAAAAAAACGAAAACAAAAACAAAAAACCATATACAAAATGTTTAGAAATGAGAAAGACAATATATAAGAATTGTCTAAGGTGTACTTATGAGGTAAGAGATTTTGGAGTGAAAGCAGGTAGAGGATAATTTATTTGTGAAGATTAGATTTAAGTAGAGATTACAGAAGACAAATGAAACTCAATCATGTGTGAGTAGATTACCTCTATTATAATTTATAGGTAATAAATATGTATGCTCCTACCGTAAGTGTTGTGGTGGGTACTACTTCATTTTGTTGATGTGATAATACTTACATATTAAAGCAATATGTTGATGAAATAAAGAATTTAATATAACAACCACAGAGGAATTTTAAATTTGTGTAAGAATAGTTAACTTTTTGCTGAATATATCAGTTACTATCTTATCTATGTATTATCATCCAAATGAACTCTAGATATTTTAGAGCAATAAAATGAAAAGCATTTTGAAGGTTCTTTTCCATGTTAATTTAAATTACTATTTTGATGATTACTATTTAGGATTCTTCTATTTGCAGGGTTTTGTTTGAAATAAATCTTCTCAAAATCAGGAACTATAAAGAATTCATTTTTTTACTCAGGAGCTTTGTGCCAAGTCCAGTGCTTAGTATGGTTTAAATAAATATAAATTGAAAGGATTTGTGAATAAAGCTGCTCAATTCAGGTTGATGTTTTGCATTAATCTGAGAAGTAATGTAATTTTTTTTATTATGCCATAAAAGCAGAGACAAATTAACTTTGGAGCAGAAGGCATACCTGGATAGCGTTCCAACTCTTTATAATTGTATCTTCCTAATGTGACTTGTCTTTAATGAAATGATGTGACTTCTAGGAATAATTGACACATTCTGCAGAGAAAATTGTATAGACATACAGTAGTTTTCCAAAAAAAATTCACTATTTTATGTTATACTTTAATGTTTTAAAAAATCAAAATATTGGGCTGGGCGCGGTGGCTCACGCCTCTAATCCTAGCACTTTGAGAGGCTGAGGTGGGTGGATCACAAGGTCAGCAGATCGAGACTGTACTGGCTAACATGGTGAAACCCCGTCTCTACTAAAAAATACAAAAAATTAGCCAGGCGCGGTGGCGGGCACCTGTAGTCCCAGCTACTGGGGAGGCTGAGGCAGGAGAGTGGTGTGAACCCAGGAGACAGAGCTTGCAGTGAGCTGAGATTGTACCACTGCACCTCCAGCCTGGGCAGCAGAACGAGACTCCATCTCAAAAAATAAAAAAATGAAAATATTTGTCATTTTTTCCCTATGGAATCTGCATAATCAATGTAGATGTATCTTTTTTTCTTTGGCAGTTTTCTATTTCTTAATAAAACATTTTTTTCTAAATATCTTTTTGACTTAGTCACAGAGAATAATTTGGCTTCAAGCAGGACATTCTTATTTATTTTATTTTTGTTTCTTTAAGCTAGGGGAGAAACTTGAACAGCCATAACAACTTTAGTTGTAGAAACAGAATGGTCAGTAAATTCCCATTGTGCTTATCTGATAAAAATAATAGAAAAGGCAGATAGTGGCATAATCTCTGGAATACCATAGGAAAAACAATATTTCACACCAAAGCTGCTTTCTGTTATTCACTCATTAACATTTGTTTTAAACAAATCTGTGTTTGATGTTTGGTTTTGCCGCTGTCTTTGTAACTGTGGGTAATTTCCCTGAGCCTCAGAGCCCCTAGGTAAATTTGAGTTTGTAATGATTTTTCTCAAGCATTGTCATATGAACATTTTATAAAGTGACAATAACTGGTAGACTTTTTGCTGTTGCTCTGATATTAATGATGGCAAAAATAGTGATTTTTAAGTGAGCCAGTACTACAGGTCCTGAGATAAGACCATGAGATTCAATAAGTAAGACAGCTCTGGTGTTCAAAACCTTATATTCTGGCTGGGCATGGTGGCTCATGCCTGTAATCCCAGCACTTTGGGAAGCCAAGGTGGGAAGATCACTTGAAGTCAGGAGTTCGAGATCAGCCTGGCCAATCAACATGGTGAAACCCCGTCTCTAACAAAAATACAAAAATTAGCTAGGAGGGGTGGTGTGCGCCTGTAACCCCAGCTTCTTAGGAGGCTGAGGCATGAGAGTCACTTGAACCCCAAAAGCAGAGGTTGCAGTGAGCCAAGATCATGCCACTGTACCCCAGCCTGGACTACAAAGTGAAACTGTCTTAAAACAAACAAACAAACAAACCAAAAACTTATATTCCAATGTTCCCATTATGCACAAATTTTCTATAATTGTGAAGAACACTAAAATGCGAAGCAACGAGGACTGAATTGCCTTCATCTGGTCTGACAAACTTATTTTCTCCTTTTATCAGATGGAGCAGAATAGCATCCTTTCTGGCTTGAATTCAAAATTTAGAAAAATAAGCTTGGAGTACAACCAAAGATAAGTTGTATTCCTTCATTCAGTCATCAACTATATCTTATGTTCCATACTCTGTTTCAAAGCAGGCAATCAGTAATGAGTTTTTAATATTTTCTGAATTATAAGTGAGGCAGAATGCTGTTAGACTCTTCACACTGAATTTAACATCTCTAAAGTAAGTTACAATTGACAACAAGGATGAATTGTAGAACACAGCCAGTCATATTTCAAAATTCCCATGAATTTACTTTGTTTTTAAACTTTTTAGGAATGTATTTTATCTATAATTGGTTAACTATAGCTAATGCTTCATGTAAGTTTGAGAACTTCTCAATAATCATGATTCTCACTAACCTTTGTTGAACCTTGACTGTATCCTAATCATGTTGTTAAACAATACACATTACATGTAATTCTTACCACAAACACTGTTGGTCAAAATACAATTGGGAAAAAAAAAAGTCCCCTGTAGGTATTTTAAGCAGGAAGGAATTTGTTAAAGATTGTTAAATGGCTTACATAATCCTGAGTAGTGCTAAAACAGGAACGATTTTTGGTTGAGATTTTAGGAAAGCCATGCTGTAAGATTAAGTTCCAGGAGAACTACTGTCGTATCTATCATAAGCAGGTGACCGCTCTTCCACTGCCATACTCAAGAAACTACCCATAATCAGGACGATGCCATTACATTGTCGTAAGAAAAGTTTTATCAAGACACAAAAATTATTGAATGATTGAATTTTTCCGAATTATTGAGTTCTGTATTAATAAAATAATGCATCTTTTTTGTTTTTACAATATACATGTAAGCATACGGCCACCAAAGAAGAACTTCTCCTCTCTGTAGTAAAGGATAATACGCTCATTACTTATTATTTCGTAAAACTTCAGAATAGATGTTTCTTGAGCATATTTTCTGGTTTACGATCTGCTGTGAGCTCCAAGGCAGACAAACTATTCTTTGAGTTTGAAATCAAGTCTAAAATAGAGCAAAATGTGAGTAGCCTAATAAAGTTCATAATATATAGATAGGTAAAAAATGCTGCTTTTATTTTCCCATGGAAGCAAGTTAGGCATTAGTAGTAACTGATCTTTACACTTAAAATGTTAAAAGAAATCTCTGATAAACTTAATGATTCCTCAGTATTGAACTTTGGGTGTTAAGAGGCAAATGTTTTTTTCTGAGAATGTATTTCTCTTTTTTTGTGTCTGTATATTGCAGTAACTTAAACCATCAATGTCATTTGACTCAGAAACACTTTAAACAGTGTAACTTTTATGTCTTCTGTCATTTCTTTTTTTTTTTTTTTTGAGACGGAGTCTCGCTCTGTCGCCCAGGCTGGAGTGCAGTGGCGGGATCTCAGCTCACTGCAAGCTCCGCCTCCCGGGTTCACGCCATTCTCCTGCCTCAGCCTCCCAAGTAGCTGGGGCTACAGGCGCCCGCCACTACGCCCGGCTAATTTTTTGTATTTTTAGTAGAGACGGGGTTTCACCGTTTTAGCCGGGATGGTCTCGATCTCCTGACCTCGTGATCCGCCCGCCTCGGCCTCCCAAAGTGCTGGGATTACAGGCGTGAGCCACCGCGCCCGGCCTTCTGTCATTTCTTATAAAAATATCTTGGGCCATCTAATGAATGATGTGCTGGACAAGAAAGCCTGCTGAAATCTCCTGTGTACATCTGCTCCTGATATTGTTTGTCATTCTGTATCCACCACAGTTTTCTACATTTTCAGACATTATAAGAGACTACTTATACCCAAACACATGAAACATTACAGGGTATATATTACCAGGACTACTGATGTGACATGACTTTATAAAGTGAAATCCATTATGCACAAGGATTTGAGAAATACAATTGCCATCTTTAGATTACTAACTTGGTGCTCTTTCAAATCACTATTCTTTATTAAGTGGGTTAGAAATTTACTAAAGATTGTTGTGGGGAAAACAGAGTAGAGCGTATGAATTTTATAGTATGTCTAGTTTCTTATGAAAACTTTCACTAAATAGATCTCTCTCTCTCTCTCTTTTTTTTTTTCTTGAGACGGAGTTTAGCTCGTTACCCAGGCTGGAGTGCAATGGTGGACCTTGGTTCACTGCAACCTCTGCCTCCCAGGTTCAAGCGATTCTCCTGCCTCAGCTTCCCGAGTAGCTGGGACTACAGGTGCACGCCAGCATGCCCAGCTAATTTTCGTATTTTTTGTAGAGACGGGGTTTCACTCTGTTGGCCAGGCTGCTCTAAAACTCCCGAACTCAGCCTCCCTAAGTGCTGGGATCCACCCGCTTCAGCATCCCAAAGTGCTGGGATTACAGGCGTGAGCCACCGTGCCCGGCCAGTAGAACTCTTTTATATATGTCTCTACTCTGCCTTCTAGCCTCTGTGTCTCCATTTCTCCATGGCTCAGTGCTTTCTGTGTGGGCTTTGCATTACAGGATCTTCATAATGAGAACGCAGTGTTAGTATGTGATTTTCTGTGTTTCATTGTAATTAACTCTCTATAGTAGGTGTCAGGATAGCATGGTCTTGTCTTATTGCAATAGTTTGCATGTTAAAACTGTAAGAAAGCCTCAAAGGTTTTAGGTTGCCACTTTAAAATAATGGGTTCTATAATATGCAGCTTTAGAATTTTTTCCATTTATGTTATCAAAGTAAAACTGAAGTAAGTAGGTTTAGCTAAATATGCATTGTTTAAATATGCATATATTCATATATGTATGTGTATGCATTTATGTATATGTCTTGACTACTACTTCACACCATACACAAAAATCAAATACCAATGAAGTGAACATTTTAGAAAAAAATTATGTAGTATCTTTATCACTTTGGAGGAATTATGATGTCTTAAATGGAACTCGTGATAAAGGAAAATGGTAATTTGGAATGCCTTAAAATAAGAGGTTCTATTCTTCAAAAGACACCATATATAGAATGAATAGGCAACCCACAGAGTGGGAAACAGTTTCACAGTATAGGTACCCAAAAAGAAAAAAAGAAATTGTATTCAAAATAAGCAAAGAACACTTACAAAGTAATAGTATAAGAAAAAGATAAATAAACGCAATGAGCAAAAGATTTGAACAGATACTCAATAAAAAAGATCCAAGTTGCCAAGATCAGCAAACATATGAAAAGTTCTAAACTACATTGGTTATCAGAAAAATGCAAGTTAAGACCACAGTGAGATATACTACAAATTCACTATAATGTCTACAGTGAAAAACAGCCACTACAATTTCTTGGGCAGGGTATGAAGCAACAAAAACTCTTATTCAGTATGGAAAAATGGGCAGTATTGACCAAAGTTGAGCATCACATTTTAAGAAGGAATCATTTCAAGAAAGTGTTATATAAGTTCACCAAAACCCATTTTGAGAATATTTCTGGAATCTCTATTTGTGGGAAACACTCACAAAAAGCAATACATTAAAAGAAAACAAAAAAGATAGCTTCCATAAAACAGACAAACAAAACAAAAGTCTATTCAAATGACCAGTCAAAGTAGATGTATAGATACAGTGTAATTATCGGTATACAATGGATTATTATATAGCAATAAGAATAAATCATCTATAATTATACAGAATATGAGCACTCTCACAAATATAAGGTTGAGCTAATAAAATATAACACAAAGTAACACACATTATAAATTATCTTGATATAAAGTACAAAAAGAAGCTAAATAATATATGGTATTAGAATTCAGGATAATGGCTACCCTTTGTTGGGGACTATCCGAAGGTGAACGAGGAGGGATTCTGGGTCTTGGAGTAATCCTATTTCTTGACCTGGGTGCTGATTATTTAGTTGTGTTTAGTTTGTAAATATTCAGCAAGCTTTATGATTATGATATGTGCAATTTTCTATATGCATTTTAAAGTTTAGCAAAAAGTTAAAGAAACAATAAAGAACACAATTGCTGAAAAGGCATACAAAAATAAAAAGGTCCTTCTTGGGAGAATGTCAGAGAATTTTGTTACAGCAATAAACTGCTCATGATGCATAAAGAGGAAGTAGCCATAAGAATTCAAAATAACTTATACAGAGCCAAATAATCATGTATACAAAAACTACTGTACCATGTAATGTGGAGGTCCAAATTCAGTGTTTGCTATATAAATCTAAGTTGGAAACATCCCTCAATAAATAGAGAGATTTTTTCTCATATTGAGGGAATGATGGGAGCTACTGCTCCCAGCTCAATAATATGAACTAGTAGTTTTTTGTCATTTTATGTTCTTAAAACGACTGGAAACTGTAACTTGAGAATGTGTAGGTTGTTTCTGATAGAGTTATATACATTGACGAGTTATATACTCTTTATTTTTCACTAGGTAGTCATATTCAGTAGTGCTCTCAATTTAAGTTGTGAGTTGTAGGTATAATATCTTCTGATTTCTGAAATTAAATTATATTTGGCTCTACTATCACATTGACTAGAGTGGAGAGATGTCCACTGTCAAGCACTAAAGTGGACCTTTCCTCTTTAACTGCTCTTATTTTGCAAAAAGCAGAGTTATGTACATAAATGTGTATCAGTCAAAAAATAATTTATATGTAACATATATTTTTCTATTGTTCTGAGTGCAGACGTCTTAAATATTAAATCCAGCATGCATTCTGACATTGTCTTCTAACTTGATATATTGTTAACACTTAAAATATTTTATCACCAAATATGGTACTGTCCTTTTAATTGCATCCTGAGAATTTTTTTTCTGATTTCCTAGGTCTTTAACTATAACTTCTCCATCTCTCTCTCTCACTTTCTTTCTCTTTCTCTTCATCCTTGCCCATTCAATATTGGGTTTCCCAAAGTTTGCTCCTGGACCTTCTTTTCATTTTATTCTCTATGCACTGTATGAAAGGAATCTGTCTACTCCCATATTCTCAACAAACACCTGTATGTTTGTATCTTCAGACCTGACAATTTCTTAGACTTTCAATCTAGGATTAACTACTGCCTAGCAATCATCATGACATATGGCAACTTACTGTTCTATAGGAATCTCATAATCAATATGAATCAAACTGATTTCATTGTTCTGCCTAAAGTGTTTCTCCTTTTGTAATACTTGCATGGCATTATCTTTTTTCTTATAATTCATCACTAAAGCATAGATTCAACCCATAGGTCTCTTTAATATATCAGTCCTCTTCCATCACACTTCTTTAACCTGATTGAAGTTTCCTTCACTTTTTTGCATACCTCGCTGCAATAACTTTTTTTTCCTACTTCTGATCCAAGCAGAAAGATGTAAGGAATAGTCACATCTATGTCTGTTTTTAGGGAAGCAAAAGCTTTCATAAAAAAGTGCACAGCAGATTTTTGCTTAATTTGTATCCTCACAACTGAGAACTACTTGTGCTCTAACAGCAAAGGAGCTTAGAAAATTGTAGACTGCTGTTATATTTGGCTTAAAACAAATATGATCTCTGTCTCCTAAACTACATTTTAAGGAAAGATGAGGCATACTGACTATTATACAAGGAAGTATAGGCAAATAGCACTGGATGTCAAAGATCTGGAGACTGAGAAGGACTCATGTCAAGCAGTCCAGGCAGAGGGAAACTCAAGCACAAACAACTGAGGTGGGAAAGTCTTTGTGGCAACTGAGGAATAAGGGTAGGCTATTGTGGCCTGATAGAAGTGAGAAAGATGGGTATACAGATGATAGATTCAGAGATATAGAAGCTAGATTACAGTGTCTACCCCCTGCATGAGATACTCCAATTCTCAAGTTGAAGAACCGCATTCTATGCATGTCTTTATTCTAAGCACCTTTTATAGTCTAGGGTAATAGTAAGTTTAATAGCTTTTAATGAATGAATTACTTGTAACACTTTATATAAATATATTAAAGTGCTCTGTGATTTCTTTTTATACATAGTTTAAATTATTCACAAGAATATATATTAATAGGTCGAAATTATCTCATGACTGATAGTCATCTTCTTCAGCATAGATTTCTCTAAGGTTAATCATATTATTTGAAACCATAAAAGCCTTTAACAGTCAATTGCTTCAATTCCATGGTCCACCCTTTTATTTTTTTCAAAAGAAGCCATATGAAAAAATTACATTGAAATATTGATCTCAGTGATCAAAATAATTTAATAAATTTTCTATGTATTTTTAACTATGAAGTTCTGATCATATTTGATGTTGCACAGCTGTAAAAAATGTACAAATAACTCTGTTCAATGGCATTTGATTTTAAAAATTACAGACACTGATTTTTAAAATTGGGCCCTGAAGTTTGGATAAACGGACTATTTAACCAAAATGTGAAATTACATATATAATACATTAATATTAATTTAGATTGTGTGTCATTTTTCTCATATTGAACTGAAAAGAAATGATTGTTACTATTATTTTCTTTGCAATTGCCTTTGAAGTTCTCTTTAAACACAAAGTACAAGTTCCAATGAGGAAACTATTAGCAATGATTTCTATTATGGTCATAACAGAAAGCTGTTTGTGAAAATAATTTATAATGTGCTACAGTTGGTTAAATTTAGTACCATACTAGGTGTTATGACATTCAAAAAAGGTTTTGTAATTTATTTTTTACACAATTTATAAAACAACTGAATGGTTTCCAATTTTCTGTTTCACTTCATTGAGACCAAGATAGTTTAAAACATATGCATATTTATACACACATACACACTCACAAAAATCTGCATACATTGTACCTGAATGTATGTTTTATATTACACAAGTTTGAATATGCAGACACTATATAAGTGCGTATATGTATGCACACATATACACTTTATTTTTTTATGTAAGCCCAAATGAAAAAGATATTTGGTAAATTTTGTGTAATTAATTATATTTGTAAAGCACAGATTTAGTTTCCAGATTCTATTATACCATATACTAAATTATTTCAAAAATCTAATTTTTATTTCCTGTGTTTTCCATCTGGTCTTCTTACATTGTCATTCTAAGATCTGTTTCTAAAATAATGTTGGGAAATGGAGTGTTGATTTCTTCTTTACTAAAATATATTTTCATTATTTTTGAAGTAATGAAAACATATCTATTTTTGTTTAGTTAGCTGACAACACCTTTTTCCATTATTTTATTTTTAGATGGCTAAGTTTAAACTTGACTGTGTGCCTTTTAAAATTCAAAGTGAAATAATCAGACTACTCTACTTTCATTTGCTATCAACTGAAGGATTAGCAATTTCAACTAGAGTAAAACATAATCAATAATGGCTGAATTTATACTCAAGATCACCATACTTGAAGCTATCCTTTTCCTTCTTGGAAGCATAATAAAGTCCATCATAAATTTGGACAGGAAGAAGTCCCTCAATTTTTTTAAGTATCTGTCAGTCTCTTAAAGTCCACTTTTATGGAAGGAAGTAAAATAATAAATCACAAACCATTAGTTATGAAAGGCCAGTCATATATTTCTAAATATACTATTCTATCATTTAAAGTCTAGTTTTATGTATAGCTAAGCAGACAATGTTTTGCTATTTTCATACTATTAAGATCAATAAAAATACATCCTAAACCAGAATTATAAGGATAACTTAGATTTACATTATTTTATTGGATTGCAACAAAAATAGAGCAGGCTTATATTTATTTTATTACTAAATTATAGCTTCAACCTTCATATGATCCCAGAGTATCTAATAAACATTAAATAATGACTCTAATGCTTACGATATCTTCCAGGTTCAGAAGCCACTGGAGATGAAAAGCAAGGTTTTACTGTGCTTGCCATACTCATTCTAGAAATATAAAGCTGCATCTACAGTTGAAACTTAGAGGGAATATTAAAGTGACATAGTATTACTCACTTATTAACTTGAAGCAAAAGCTATTTAATCTCCATAAAATGCTACATTCATGTAGTCTACAAACACAATCATGTATATTTATTTTTTTCTGAAAATAAAACTTCCCAAAATACTTCAATATGACATTATTTTCTTGAATTAAACATTAGTGTTTCCTTAGGTACCATAATGTGTGGCTATATAACTCCTCCCTAATGCTTCCCACCCCAAACAAATTCACACATACATTTCTCTTTATTTATCACAAACTAGTTCTACTCTTCTAAACTAGAATAGTGCATTTCCCAGTGAAATATTCAGGTCTCAACTTCTTGACTTCCAAAGGTTTGTTCCAGATGACAATCTCCATTTAAGAGTTCTCCATATAAGTGAGAACTACTCAAGGAACTACGTTAAATTATCCTTTCCATAGACTGGAGATCTGTACTTTCTTTAATCTTCTGTTGCTGTGCCAAATCTTGTAGCATTTTAATTATCTTTTAAACCTTCTCCAAAGACCATTTTCTTGAATTACACTGTTCAAAACTCCACATAATCTCCCAGCAAAATTATAGACATTGGTCTAAACGATAGTAGGACATTATTCTTTTCCATCTTGCATCACTACATCAAAATTGATTTAAAATATTATACTTTAAAACTCACAGTGGTGTCATCTGGCACTATTTAATTTATCCTCAAAGTACTGTCTTCTTTTGGTTTTCAAGACATTGCATCTCCTTTCTTCCATATTTGTATCTCTGTCTACTCAGTTTTTTACATATGCTCTTTTTCCTTTATCTAAACATGTTTTTATTAGGTCCTACCTCTCCAATCGTCTCTTTACTTTTGCTGGGTGATCATATTCATGGTCATTTCTTAAATTGTCACTTATGTAACAATGCTTTAAAGATTAAATTTCAACCTCCTTCCAGATATGCCCATCTGATACTTCCATTTGGGTATTCTAATCTTCCATTTTACCCTCAGCACCTCCAGATGAATGACATTATCTGTTCCCAAAGTTCAAAGACTGAAACTTGGAAGCCACTCTTCATCCCAGCTGTCACTGCCTCAGTTCAGGGAGTTCCCTTGAATTTTTCAAATAACGTTCCTATTCTGTTCTCTGTCCCTATTTTCCTGCTTTCTTCTCTTTCCCTTCCACCAACCTTTTCAGGTTCTCTTTAAAAATATTACCGGTCGGGCGCGGTGGTTCACGCCTGTAATCCCAACACTTTGGGAGGCCGAGGAGGGCAGATCACGAGGTCAGGAGACAGAGACCATCCTGGCTAACATGGTGAAACACGGTCTCTACTAAAAATACAAAAAATTAGCCGGGCGAGGTGGCCGGCGCCTGTAGTCCCAGCTGCTTAGGGGGCTGAGGCCGGAGAATGGCGTGAACCCGGGAGGCGGAGCCTGCAGTGAGCCGACATCGCGCCAGGGCACTCCAGCCTGGGCGACAGAGCGAGACTCCGTCTCAAAAATAAATAAATAAATAAATGAATAAATAAATAAATAAATAAATAGTACCACAATGTTTTTATAATATGCCAATTAGATGACATGCTATTGCCCTTGCTTGGACTGGCCTTTCTCACCCTGTGTTCCAAGTTTCATGTAAATATTACAAAATATTTCCTAACTTCCCCAGGAAGTTGATAGAACATTCCACTTCATATTTCCATTAGACCTTTCATAATTGCCATTCTCTTGAATCCAAAGTACTGGTTACCATCCTGGCCTATAAGGCACAGACAGTCTCCAGCTCTGGCCTATAAAGCAGAGACAGACAATCTCCTTATGTGTGAGTATCTTTAATACTTAGGAAATTGCTGCAGCAGAGTAAAGACTCAACAAGTGTTTATCAAAAATGAATGAATAAATGAATGAACGAACACATACATGAATACATATGTTCATCTTAGGCAGAGCCTGTCATGGTAAACACTTATAATAGGCAGATATAGTAGCAGAAACTTCAATTTTCTTAGTTATTCCAGTGATTTTTCATATAGTAGGTAAGTATTAATGCTATTTCAATTGATAAGAAGCATTTCAATTTAAGAACCTATTTAGCAAGATTTCAGTAAGTGGAAGGCTCAGATTTCCTGTTTATGTCATTACTCCTCATATGGAGCAAGATTGGAAGGTAATTAATAATGAACTAATTAAATAGAAGACTACATGAGGAGTAAAAATTAACAGTCAGGGAAGTAGATGCTTCATTAATTTATTTACTCAACAAATATTCATTTAGTGTGTAGTTGGTTGGGCTCTGTTAGATTGCAGATTCACAGCGGAGATAATATGGCCTTCTATGTTTCCCAGTAACTACAGACTTTTCTATAAAAATGCTTACTCAAAATTTTTACCTGGTTGTCGTATGACACTCAAACATATTATGTTCAAAACCAAAGTCTTAAATTTTTTTCCCAAACATCTATTGCTGTGTGGTTTCTTTTTGTCATTCAAATCTCAGTTCAAAATTCACCTCATGGAGACATTCCTGTACCTCACTTAAATTCTTATGGACTCTTCGCAAGTCTCTTACTAGCTTATTTATTTCTTTTACTCTTTTCTAAAAACCCTAATAAGAATCTGGAAGTATCTTGTCTATTTTGTTTACCTGCATGGTCTCTGTATGCAGCCAAACGTACGTAAACTCTATGAGAGCAGACATTCTGAGTGTCTTATTCATGCTCTGTCTTCAGCGTACAGAAGAAAGTGCTCTTGTGAAATTTAAAATTTTGGAAATTTTAAAGTGGAAATTTTGAAGTGGAAACATTCCACTTCATATTTGCATTAGACTTTTCATAATTGCCGTTCTTTCAGTCTCAGAAGAAGTGTACAGAAGAAAATGCTCTAGTGAAATTTAAAATTGTGGAAAATATTTCACTTTCAGTCTCATGAAGAAACCTGATGTACATACTTTAAAATACACAATATTGTTTTGGTACCCTTGATGCTCTGATCTGGAAGGACTCTTTGTTGGAAAGTGCCGAGCGCAGGCTGACAACAATTTAGCCTCTTAGTAAAATCAGTTCAATTGCTCATGCAGAATTGTATTTGGTTTACTATATTATATATATTTATATATTTATGTGCATATAGCAGTGGTTCACAAACTTTTTGGTCAAAAGCTCTTGAACACTCTAAAAATTTATCGAGGACACCAGTGACCTTTTGTTTATATGGGTTTTATGTACTGATATTTTCTGTATTAAAAGTAACAAACAAAATTGTAAATATATCTGTAGAAACTTATGAAAAGTTTAAAAAATTAAAACCATGGCATGTTGATATAAATAATACACCTTTATAACTAACAACCATATTTTTCAAAACAAGAAATAGAAGCCAGGAGCAGTGATTCACACCTGCAATCCCAGCACCCTGGGAGGCTAAGGTGAGCGAACTGTTTGAACCCAGGAGTTCAAAAGCAATGTAGTAAGACCCCATCTCTACAAAAAATTAAAAAAGCATCAACAGCCAATCGAAGTGGCACATATCTGTAGTCTCAGCCACTCAGGAGGCTGAGATGGGAGATTGCTTAAGCCCAGGAGGATGAGGCTGTAGTGAGCTGTGATTGTGCCACTGAACTACAGCCTGGGTGACCGAGTGAGATCTTGTGTAAACAAATTAATAAATAAATTAATTAAAAAAGAGAAGAGTGGCCTTGTTTTATATCTTTGCAAATTTTTAATACCTAGCTATTATAAGAGAGCTGGATTCTTATAAATGCATCCATTTTTAATCTCTTGCTATGTAATTTTAGGATCAAAGAATATAAAGTAGATAGTTGACATATAGTTGAAAAAGGGAAGGGTATTTTAATACTTTTCTTAGATACTTGTAGATATTTTTCCTGATACTATACTAAAACTTAAATGGTTGTTTCCGAAAGTTACTGGTAATGCAAACTCTGAAGCCATGTCAATCAACTTTTTGAACTTTGTATTTTTATGAAAATAGTTTTGATATTGTGGACCCTGTGAAGGTGTCTAAAAATCCTGAGAGATTCTGGAACATGCTTTAAGAACCACTGATGTATACAATCATATAATTGTAGACCAGGCATTACTGTGTACAAGGCATGGTTTTAGGTGTTCGGAACACAACAAGGAAGGCTAGCCAACCAGTTGAGAGAGTACAGCATAAATTTAGGAAAGTGTTGGCTGAGTAGATAACTACTACTTGTGGTCCTGGTGTGATTATTGCTCATTGAACCATACCTGGAGTATAGGCATATAGTCCAAAGTGTCCCATTGCCCAGAATTTTCTGAACTGTAAGTAGGTAGTATTTACCTTCTCTTTTTGGATTTTACCTAACAAGGATATTAAGTCTGAAGCTGCTGGAATTTCTTCTTTCCAAGCAAGTAAACACAGGCTATCTGCAGAGAAAGAAATAAGAATGAGATAAAAATGGAAGGTAAGCAAAACTGAGCCAATGAAAGAGAAAGAAATCTGATGTTATTTATTTGAATCTTAGAATTCAGGTGAAATAACTCATCATTTTATCATTAATTAATTTTTGATGGTGTTCTATTCTTTGCCACCAACTGTATTCTTATTAATACAGAAGGTAATTAATAACTTTTCTTCAAATAAATATTTGAAAAATTAAATAAATCAATTTACAAAGATTATATCTTTGGGAAATTCTTACTTTTTCCCCTGCGTAGAAGTTGAGTACCCAAGAAATATATGGAGGAGATAATGGAAGATGATTCCATGTTCAGCTCAATTTTTGCAGGGCTTATAGAAAAGACTATTTAATGTCTTTCATAATAGGTCACTATCTGTGTCTTTTCTTCTGAAAAGTGATACAAATCCTTTTTACTTAATTCAGTATTTGATTTATAACTTTCTCCAAATGTATTTCATCTGGCTTTTTTCTGCCAGAATAATTAATACTAGGAGTAAGAAACAAATGCAGACTTGAGAGTTAACAGATAAATTTCCAGTTGTTAAAATTATTCCCTACTTTGTCTCCCATTAAGATATGGCCACAAAGTAGACAATCAGTTCCTTTCTTTTCAAAAATTTATTATACTGATGATGGGCATTTACCTTAAGCTTGGGAATTTTAACTAGTAGTGGCTAGCATAAGAGTAAGGTTTTCTGTGCCCTATAGGTGAATTATGAAAGCGATTAGAAGCTCTTCAAAAATAAGCTTCTACATGATGAGACATTAACGGGGGTCACATAACACATTACTGCCACAGTGTTTTGATAGATTGCATGTGGTGGTAACTTTTAAGAATAAATGTGCTCTCTGTATTATCTGTATTTTTACTAGGCAGTGAATCTAGTTTCAGAACCAATGGAATACTTTACGAAGCTAATTTATATGTGTATACCAGATTTCATAATGAAGCATGGCTTTAATATAATTTCATTTTGAAAAATCTTTTATTTATTTACAAAATACTTTAGTGGGAAAATGTGTTAACAGAGACTGTTTCACAGATATTGTGGGGGAAAATGCACTTCTTTTTAAATATAATCTATTGTATGGTCAACATTTTGACATATCATACTACAGGGGGAAAAACTTATCTATTAATACTGTAGTTATTACCACTTTCTATCCAATTTACTGTGATTGGCACCAATTGCTCATAATTGCTGTATACCAACAAAATACTTCACTGCTTTATTTTACCTAACGTAAAGTTAGATAGAAATGTTAACGCTCTTTCATTTGTAAGTTCGGCTGCTTCCTATTTTATTTTCTTTTATAAATGCTTAAATATATAATCTATTTGAAAGCAATATCTTTCATTTTACATTATGATTGCCACTTAAATTATTATTTTAATAATTAAATCTAGCAGTGTGCACAAAAACTGTTGACCTTTCACTCATAACATTGACCAGTACTTATGGTCAAGGTCTTATTAGTTATTGTTATTGTCTGCTGAAAATATTTTACAAAGGTATACTTACAGGCATCTTCTCTATTTTCTTTCAACTGTTAGTTTTAGGTGAACCCAAGTGAATTTTTACATGTGATTCTTTATATCCAGTCCTCAGTTTGTTTAGTTATCTGCTCATGGAAAGGACCGTCACTTAAAATCATCGGAGAGTGTACTTCATAGGTCTGGAGCATTCCATTTACATAGCTTGCAATTGAAATGATGCCCCTTGTAGAATAGGCAATTTACACAAAATGTCTAACCTTGGTGGAACATGGTAGGTTAGGCTTTGATCCATATTACTTTCCTTACACTTCTTGTTAAGGCCAAATTTCTTAATATTGGAATATATCCCCAAGTATCACAGCCCCGAATGCTCCAAGTTTGACAGGTTTTGAATTCTCCTTAACAGAGATGCTGACAATTGATAATTAATTAGTCAATTTGGAATTGCAATCCCTTGTGCTCTCCTTATGACAGTAATATACTGTATGACAGAAACCCATCTTGAGTAGACACTGACAGAATTTTCCACCAGCACCATAAGAGGATTACTTCACATCTTTGCAAACACTTGGTGTTGTCAGAATTTTTGGTTAATCTAGTGTATGTCATTATATCTAAAGTGGGTTTAGGTATTTTTTTTTTGGTGGCAGGGATAAGATGGCTGACTAGACACGGCCGGGAAACGTCACTTTCATGGAGACAGACCAAGGTTTTGAGTAAACAAATGTAATTTGAACAGATCTTCAGAGAGAAAACACCAATAGTGGATGGAGATGTGAAGCAGACACTGAGGTTGAGGAAGGAGGAGGCTGGGAACCCTACGTGGGGTATTCCAAATGGCTCCTGGGAAATGGGTGAGTAAAGGGAGTGTGGGACTGCCCACCTTCTCTGAAAACCTCTGGAATCCTGGCTGAAGGTGATCCCATGTCTTCCATGGACATTTGAGCTGACAGAGGGATCTGCCCACAGAGTAGATTGAGACAGGGTTTCAGCTGGTGTGGAACCAGGGGTCTTTGTGCATGGTGTAGCTCTGGTGGAGTGTGGCCATAGGCTTCCATTACCCAGGGCTCCTCATCTCCGTCCAATAATCTCTAGTCCCAGCTGACCGCTGGGCAAAGAGAATGTGGCACCGACTTACCCATGGGACTAGGGCACATCTGTTTTGCAGGCCCTCCCGTGGCACCTGTATGACCTCCTTGCAAGACCATGTGCACAGTGCAGCCTCCGCTGCCTAGCCAGGGTGCTTTGATCCACCTGATTATGTTCCTTGCAGCCTGGGAGCACTTCAGATACCCAGTCACACCCAGAACCTGACTCAGAGGGTCCAAAGGACAAAGCCGCCAGCTGATCTTGGGCCCTCAGGGCTGCAACATGTAACTTAGGAGGGCCAATCTGAGATCTATGGCCAGCACTTGAGCGGGAGAGAAGCCCACACTCTCACAGCAATAATACGGGTGAGATGTGTGGGTTTGTGGGCTGGAGTGGGAGTGGGATGTGCCTTCCTCTACAGGGCAGTCCTGGAAAGGGTGTGTGCCTATCTCCCTGTTATGGCCTCTGCCTAGGGAACCCCACAGCCTGGAACCACTAACAAAAGAAATGTGGGTGCAGGGCCAGTGATAAGATGGGGTTGCCTCAAAGCCCAGGAGTGGGCCAGGTAAGAGGGGTCACTTCTCTGTCCCTTGAACTGCAGAACACAACTGCACCATTTACTGAATTGCAGCCTAAACTATAATACAAAAAGTATTTTTCTAACATACTTCCCTGTGAAATCAAGGGCAAGAATTCAGCCATAAAGACCCTGTCCAGAGCCCTGGCCCTGTGAAAGTATCTAGAAATGAAGGCAATTGACCACACACAAGTTACACCACAGTTAAAAGAACATCAACCCTCCCAGAGGAGAAAGAATCAGTGCAACAACTCTGGAAATTTAAAAAGCCAGAGTGTCTCCTACTTTCAAACAAGTTCAACAGGTCTCCAGCAACGGTTTTCAATCAGTCTGAAATGTCTGAAGTGACAGACATAGAATTCAGAATCTGTATGGCAAAGAAGCCCATGAAGATCTAGGAGGAAGTTGTGACCCAATATAAGGAAGCTGGTAAAATGATACAAGAACAAAAAGATGAAATAACCATTTAAATAAAGAATCAAACTGAATTTCTAGAACTAAAAAATTCACTACAAGAATTTCATAATACAATTAGAAGTACTAACGTTGGAACTGATCAAGCTGAGGAAAGAATCTCAGAGCTAAAAGACTGGTTCTACAAATCAGCTCAGTCAGACAAAAGAAAAAATAATCAATAAAAATGAACAAAACCTCTGAGAAATATAAGATTATGTAAAGAGACAAAATCCACGACTCATTGGCATTCCCGAGAGAGAAGGAGAGAGAATAAACAACTTGGAAAATATATTTAAGGATATAGTTCACAAAAATTACCTTAATATCGCTAGAGAGGTTGACATTCAAATTTAAGAAATATAGAGATATAGAGAATCCTGGCAAGACACTATACAAGACAACAATCCCCAAGGCACATAGTCATCAGATTCATCAAGGTTAATGAAAAAGAAAAAAATTAAAGGCAGCTAAAAAGATGAGTCAAGTTGCTTACAGAGGGACCCCCATTAGGCTAGCAGAAGATCTCTCAGAAGAAACCCTACAAGCCAGAAGAGATGGAGGACCTATTTTCAGCATCTTTAAAGAAAACAAATGCCAACCAAGAATTTTATATCCCACCAAAATAAGCTTCATAAGTGAAGGAAAGATAAAATCCTTCTCAGATACGCAAAGACTGAGGAAATTTGTTTCAAGTAGTCCAGCCGTACAAGAGGTTCTTAAGTGAGTGCTAAACATGGAATCAAAAGATTGACACCTACTATCCTCAAAAACACACTTAAGCATATAGCCCACAGGCACTATAAAGGAGCTACATAATCAAGTTTCCATAACAACTAGTTAACAACATGATGACAGGGTCAAAACCTCACATATCAAAACTAACCCTAAATGTAAATGGGCTAAACACTCCATTTTTTAAAATAGAGCGTTTTAGCAATAAATCCATATATTTATAATAAATTAAATTAATAAGAATGTGTTCCTATTAAATATATAATCACAAACATTAGTCATATATTATCAATATTATTACTCTATCTAAATTAACTTTATAATGCATTTTTTAATAAAAGTTGAACTAAAATACATTTTATACTGAAGATTCTTTTAAATAATACCTTAGAGTTTTCATGTGATTATATATTGATTTGAAAGGGGCTTCCAGTTCAAAAAGAGGTTGAAAAGTATTCCTCTATAGTACAGATGAACAGGAACTAGAAACTAGGTTTCAAGATTTATATGACCTTGTCACTTTCACAATTAAATGTCCAAAAAGAATATTTAGAAATCACTGAAGAATGAAAACAAAATAGATGTATCCATCTGTTGTGAGAAAAGAAAGAAGGTCAGTGTGGATAAAGCGTAATGAAGAGAAAGAGAAAAATCCTAGTGTTGGCAGAAAAGAATGATGATCAGCGTGGATGAAAATGTAATGAAGAGAAGGGGAAAAGCAGGAGATGGGGTAAGAAAGGAATTAGATTATGGAGTAAACTTTGAGCCATAATAAGAATTGTATGGTTTATTCTATACACAATGGTAAGGCTTTATGTTTTATGTAACAAAATGGTATCACTAAAGTAGCTGTAAGGGAAAAGCCTTATAGAGGTGTTGTAGTAGAAAAGTGAATTTCTTTTCTCAAAACATTATTACATCTTCTATTTTCTAGGGTTGGAAAGCTAAGTCTATTTTTCCAGCCTCCTTTTCGATTAAGATTCTGGATGCAAAGAAAGTTCTGTCATTTAGACACTTTACATGGAAGGAAGTCAAAGGAACACTACCTCTTGTAGCTCCTGGATTTTAACCAATATTTGACAGTTTGGGATCTTTTGAAAAAGATTCTAAACCTGAGGTCTCCTGAGTTTCAAGAAACAATATCACCATAGGTAACCTCTTGAATGGATACCATAGCCTCAAGTCAGAACTGTGCCTATTCTCCAGCTCGCTGGTGTCAGAGGCTTCTGTGGGCAGTGATAATTCCAGACCCTGAAAGTCATAGGTATAGTCATGACTGCAGTGATAGCAGTTACATTTCTGAGGACTGCTTATTATTCTGGGAGTGTGCCTCAGAGGCACAAGCTAATACTTGCTCCTTCAGCCTTTTAAATAATTTGCAATCAAATATAAGCCTTGCATTAAAATGTTTCCTACTTAGAATGACTACAGTGGCTCTTATTTTTTTTTAACCAGAATTGTTTCTTAATTGATTATAAGAGTGGAATCAGGAGCATCAGTTTTAGGAGTCTATTACAGAAATCTAGGCTTGTGAGGAGAGCTCAGAGTCCAAATATTGGAAGTGAAAATGTTGAGATATAATCTTACATGAAATGTATTTGGAAGGCAGAAGTTTACCATTACAGCCAAAGTGTAAGGTGCTCAGTTTAAGGAATTCCAGTTGCTCATTTTTATTACAATATCTCTTACGCTACAGATAAAGAAACCAGCGTGAGTATTTGACCAACTGTTAAGTATGTGCATTCCAATCTGTATCAAGGAAATAAGAAATGACCAATGCATGTGTTCAAGCATCAAGAAGAGTGAAGAGTTTAATTTTACCTTATGTTCATGCTAAGCAAGTAGTCTGGCAGAGTTTCATTGTTATTGACAGATGTTATTGTGTTCTTGTGTCAGAGACAAAAGACAGTTCATTACCAGAAGCAATAGCAGTAGCAAGAGTATCATCATTTTATATTAATTCCTGAAGCCCTCATTCCCACAGGCAACATAAAAAAAGCTAGAAAATACCTGTGTTGCATTAGAGGAAAGGAAGTCTTACCTTAGAGAATCTGAGTCTTTTATAATAGACAGTAAGCATGACTTTGCTTTCTTCCATGGGGCACATTTTCTGTTACATTGGGCAGCAAGCACACTTGCCATTTGCTCTAGAGGGAGACATTATCCTTATCTTTCGAGGCTATGAGGAAACCTGCTCTTGACTGTAGACAGAAACATCAACTCAATCTTCCAAACTTCTGCACTATACAACGTCTTTAAAAAGAACAATGGGCAGACAATGACAACATCTCACTCACAAAATGTGACAGAACTATAGTATTATTTATGTCCTACTGGAAGAACTTTTATTAACATTTCTTGAAGTTCTCATCTTTGCTGATATCTTTTTTCATCTTTTATATGTTTGATATCTTTTCCGCCCTTTTGTTTTTGAAATAGGCAATTCCATTTTGTTCTAGGATGCCTTGCTTCTTCCAAAAAAGTCTGATGTTATTTTTACATTTTCTCTGAACATAATGTGCTCTTCGCTCTGACTGATTTAAGATTTGCTTTTTGCAGCTGTTTTTAACCAATTTGATTTTGATGTGCCTATTTTTGTGTTTTTTATATTTGAAATGTGTTGAGTTTCTTGGATCTGTGGCTGCATAGTCTTAATCAAATTTTGAAAACCTTTGGCCATAGCTTCTTCAATAATTTTTCCTTCCATCCTCTTTCTCATATAATTGTATGCATCTTAGGTCACTTGAATAGATTCTACATCTCACTAATATAAATTCATTTGTTTTTGTTGTTTTTTTAAACTGTTTTTCATTTTTGGTAGTTTCTATTGCTATGTCTTCAGGTAGCTAATGAGAACAGAAGCTTTCTCAGCCCTGTGTGATACACAGATATTGTTTCCATTGATTTTGGGGGAGTGGTTCCTTACCCCATATTGGGTATTGTCCTCATGGGTACATGCTGGAGTTCTCACCTATAGACTTCAAAGAGCTACCTTCTTCAGTCCACACATTCCTCATTATAGCTCTGTCTTCTCTGATATCCTTCCTTCCCTGTGGACTCTAGCCACTCAGTCTATTGGACTCCCCGCTTCATCTCAACTCAGGAAGACTGCCAGTCTTCTCCTGGATTTCTGTTTTGCAAAGGTCTGGAAAATATCATCTCACGGACAATTGTAGAACTTCCCTTGTGTGTTTCCCTTCTTTCAGGAATTACTGTCCTTCATTGTCTAATGTCCAATGTCTTCAGCAGTAATGCTTCATATATTCAAGTTTTTAGCTGTTTCATGTGGGAAAGTAAATCCATTCCTTTTTAATCCATCCTGGCTAAGAGGCCAAGTTTCTTGTTGTTTTTGGTTGGGTTCCCAAGAAGTAGAACATGAGACAGGGATTTTGGTAAAAATTACTTTTTGATGGAATGCATTTCCAGAAATAATTTCAAATTTAAAAAAATTCAGCAGCAGGAATAAGGATAAAAAGGTGAACAAAGTTGCAGTCACATGCAAAGTTTAAGACTGGCCTGTTTCATGGGGGTATGGCTCTTAAGCATACATCACATAATAATGTGTCCGGAATTGGTGGGTTCTTGGTCTCACTGACTTCAAGAATGAAACCGCGGACCCTCGCGATGAGTGTTACAGCTCTTAAGGTGGTGCGTCTGGAGTTTGTCCCTGCTGATGTTCAGATGTGTTCAGAGTTTCTTCCTTCTGGTGGGTTCGTGGTCTCACTGGCTCAGGAGTGAAGCTGCAGACCTTTGCGGTGAGTGTTACAGCTCTTAAGGCAGCGCGTCTGGAGTTGTTCACTCCTCCCGGTGGCCTCGTGGTCTCGCTGGTCTCAGGAGTGAAGCTGCAGACCTTCGCGGTGAGTGTTACAGCTCTTAAAGCAGCGCGTCTGGAGTTGTTCATTCCTCCGGGTGGGCTTGTGGTCTCGCTGGGCTCAGGAGTGAAGCTGCAGATCTTCGTGGTGAGTGTTACAGCTCATAAAAGTAGCGTGGACCCAAAGAGTGAGCAGTAGCAAGATTTATTGCAAAGAGAGAGAGAGAACAAAGCTTCCACAGTCTGGAAGGGGACGGAGCCAGTTGCCAATGCTGGCTCGGGCAGCTTGCTTATATTGCCTTATCTGGCCCCACCCACATCCTGCTGATTGGTAGAGCCCAGTGGCCTGTTTTGTCAGGGCGCTGATTGGTGTGTTTCCAATCCCTGAGCTAGATACAAAGGTTCTCCACCTCCCCATCAGATTGGTTAGGTACAGAGTTTCCACACACAGGTTCTCCAAGGCCCCACCAGAGCAGCTAGATACAGAGTGTCCATTGGTGCATTCACAAACCTTGAGCTAAACACAGGGTGCTGATTGGTGTGTTTACAAACCTTGAGCTAGATACAGAGTGCCCATTGGTGTATTTACAATCCCTGAGCTAGACATAAAGGTTCTCCAAGGCCCCACCAGAGCAGCTAGATACAGAGTGTCCATTGGTTGCACTCACAAACCTTGAGCTAAACACAGGGTGCTGATTGGTGTATTTACAATCCCTGAGCTAGACATAAAGACTCTCCACGTCCCCACCAGACTCAGGAGCCCAGCTGGCTTCACCTAGTGGATCCCACACCGGGGCTGCAGGTGGAGCTGCCTGCCAGTCCTGTGCCGTGCCCTCGCATTCCTCAGCCCTTGGGTGGTCGATGGGACTGGGCACCGTGGAGCAGGGGGTGGTGCTCGTCGGGGAGGCTAGGGGCGCACAGGAACCCATGGAGTGGGTGGGAAGGCTCAGGCGTGGCAGGCTGCAGGTCCCGAGCCCTGCCCCGCGGGAAGGCAGCTAAGGCCCGGTGAGAAATCGAGCGCAGCGCCGGCGGGCTGGCACTGCTGGGAGACCCAGTACACCCTCCGCAGCCACTGGCCCGGGTGTTAAGTCCCTCATAGCCCGGGGCCGGCAGGGCTGGCCAGCTGCTGCGAGTGCAGGGCCCGCCAAGCCCACACCCACCCGGAACTCCAGCTGGCCCGCAAGCGCCGCTCGCAGCCCCGGTTCCCGCTCGCGCCTCTCCCTCCACACCTCCCTGCAAGCTGAGGGAGTGGGCTCCGGCCTTGGCCAGCCCAGAAACGGGTTCCCACAGTGCAGTAGTGGGCTGAAGGTATCCTCAAATGCCGCCAAAGTGGGAGCCCAGGCAGAGGAGGTGCCAAGAGCAAGCGAGGGCTCTGAGGACTGCCAGCACGCTGTCACCTCTCAATAATGTTTTCTCCTACTGAGGTAAGTGAACCAGACACTTTGGCCTCCTTTTAAGCAGTCACTAGGCATGGGGCACCTGAAGGGTAGGGACACACATTCTTCCAGGTACTGATTTTACTGTGAAACAAAAAAATTCTTCCAAAATAATGGGGGAGGATAAGAGGTACTGTTGAGTTGTTAATAGCCCAAACTCACAGCAATAGAGAAAAGAATACAGCAGTGAAATAGAGTATCTGGACAGAGAATCACACCATCTATTATATAAATCAGTGTGAATGACTCATGCCTAGAATTTATACAGTATGTTTCTGTTTATATAAAATTAAAAATGTCCATAATGAGATGTCTGATATGTAGGAATCACAAATGACTCATATCTGTAAAGAAAGTAAGGGGCTAATGAACCCATCATTGACATAAGTTATTACCTCTCATTTGTTGCTCGTGAGGGTGGACAATTCTGAAAATACTTTCTAATCTCTAAGGTGGGTAAAGGGATGTTTATATTATCATAATCCTTAAAACTATATGACTATATTTTACACAGTCTTTTTATGCTTACAACATGCTTCATATGCACAAGTGCATACTTACTCTCTTGGACAACAATTCAGTGTATGGTAGATGTCAGTGTAAATGAATAAATTCTGACTTCTTGACAAATGTATACTAAGATAGGAACAGAGTAGTACCTATTTAATTTTCAGTAGAAACACAGGAGTATACTAAGACTCAACCCTACACAAGAATGCAAATTCAAAAATAAATCAGTACGCTTTACAGGATTTCATTCGGATAGTTAAAATGCAACAATAACATCAATGTCAAAAACTGTCACCTCCATTTCCCTCATTGAATTAGAAACTGAATGAATATAATATTTTTAAAGGCATAGATTATGATATATATAATTTCATTTAAAATAAATTTATTAGAAAGCTAACATAGCTACAATTGCAAATGATTTTCCAAGTAAACTGTATTATTTAAGTTTATCTCATGGATATATGTTAGTTGTGTGTTACAATAAACGGACTTTTATATTTTGAATGTCAGTATAGGTAAGTGGCTTTAAATAATATCCATTTGTTTTTCTATTTTTTTCCTGTAACTACAATCAAACTCTGTGTTCCTTATTCAAGTAGACATGAGTATTTATATCCCCATTCAATGAATGCTGAAGCTTTCAGGAAGAAAAACAAGAGATGTGAAATTAATGTGTATTTGTGAAAATCAGACATTATTTTTTATTGATGTTTTCAGGCTGTCACACTTTGTGTTCTAATTCAGTGTCTTTCAAATCTTTTGAAAGAAACTCTTGCAAGAAATGCAATTTACATTGCAACTTATTATATATAAAAACATATATAGAAACAAATAAAATTAAAACACAAGATTCATAAAACAATTCTTGGTTCTACTACATATGATAAATACTCTGATATTTATTGATGCATTTTCTGTTTCATACTCTTTCATGCTTGCTAAAACTTGGATACTATATGTCAAAAAGCCAGTTTTAAAAACATAAATTTAATAAATACCCAAAATGATGCAAAATGAGAACTCTTTTAAGCAAAATGGATTTATAAACTGTTTGTACTTTTATTAAAAACTGCAATTGTTCATCCAAATGGTGGACAGATGGTTATTTCTTTGAAAGAGAGGCCTGTCTTCATAAAGCATATCATTGTTATTCTAAGTAGAATGAAATACTGGGCCTTAATTAATGAGTGAGGTAATGATTAAGACATTTTGGTGGGCTTTAGTGAGATTTATTTTAAACAATAATCAAAGATTATACAACTAATATTTATTTCCTTCAGAGTAACAAAAAAAATAGTCTCAAACCAGTTGCAGAATATAGAAACAATTCTGTGTTATTACTTTAGAATTCTGTTCTTGTCTGCAAATAGGCACCCCTTTTTACCTATCATAGTCACCTATCATAGTCACCTTGTTCAACCCATTAAACTTGTAATGGTATTTGATCACATGAAAAGAATCCAATTGTACATTCAAGGACAGATTTTTGCATTAATTTATATTTAACCTTTAGGGTATTTTTTTAAAATGCTGTGGGCTCTCAAATGAGTTAGAAAAAAAGTTTTGAAAATGTTTGAATTAATTTCAACAATATTGAAATAATTCATTATCTTTCAAAGGGTTTATTGGCCATTGTATTGGATTAAATATTACATGCTGACATACACCATACTCACTATACATAAACACATTTTACAACAAACATTTTTTCTGGTCTATGACTGTATTTCTTAGCTTCCTTTTCTAGCAACTGGAACTATGCCTGGCATAGACTACATACTCAAAAATAGTTTTAATTAACTGAACAGCACTACATAGTTTTATATAATTATATTTCTGTAAATTATGACATAACATTAAATGTTATATTGACCAAGAGGAAATAGCCTTTCAAGAAAGTAAAACTTCAAGAAATAAACAGTGCTATTTTAATGAGTTATTGATGAATTGCTCCAGGATAGCAGAAAAGCATTTATATACTGCAGCTAGTTTAAAGACAGGTGACCTTTTAAGAGATTAGTTAACCTTTCAGCAATTTTGGAGAGTTACTGTTTTGAAAGATAAAGGTCAGAGCAGAACTCAGAATGCAGTTATTGTGTTCCCTGTGTTTGTTGCCATGCTTTTAATTTCCAATAAATTAATTGAAACTGTAGAGTCGCTGTAAAGGTAGATTTATTTTTAAAATAAAAGCAATCCTAGTTGCAAGTATTTTTCAGGTATTAAATATAAATAGTCATAATATGAAAACTTGAAAATCTTAACCCATTTGTAAATTTTACCTGTAATCCCATTTCATTCTAAAAGTTGCTAAGACAAAAAAGTAAGTTTAGTTAAAGAAAAACACATGTTGCTTATGCTTATTTTATCTTTTTTAAAAAAAGCTTATTTCACTTTTTTGTTTCATCTACAAAATCTTTTTGTTTTTTAGATTTAATTTCTCTAATTATCTTCCTCTAAGCCCCCGCAGTCATAAGTCTGATGTTTACATATTTTCTTACGAGTGTTAACACCAAAAGGAAAATTGGGTTGTGTTTAGAAAACAGTAGTGAAAAATAGCATTTCTGTGCCAGTTTTTCAAATACTTGAAATTTGTGCAGAGAAAGTAACCTAAAAAGTATTTTAACATTTATAGATTTTGGTCAGCTTGTGATAAGCAAAGGATCATTACCTCGACCTACATGCTCTTTTTCTTCTTTGTCGTTTCCTATATCCATATTTTCAAATGCATGTAATTTACTTCTAAAGAAACCACCTTCTAGTTTGGAAATAAAGAAAATGTGTTTTCCTGCTAGATTTGATGATATTTACAGAGAGGTCAAGCCAGTTTTATATTACCTGGACATATAACTTAGTTTTTCATGTTTTATTCATATTCAACCATGAAACAAATATGGATAATACAATGCCCAGACTTAAGAAAGCATAAAAAAACCCAAAGGATAAAAATCATATTGTAACAACTATAGTTCTCTTTAAGGAACTAGCACTATTTGGAGATGGTAATAAACATACTGGCAGAGTTTTCACCTATTCAACAATTTGCCATTATTTTTAAAGTAAATTTCACTTTACATGGTAATTATAACTCACTAGTTCTCATCATTCTAACATCAATGTAGTCTTAAAACTGAAAGAAACCTTGAGTAACATTTGAATTGTCTGATCATTCATTAAATAAGCACAGATAGGAAAAATGAAGAAAATAAAGATAGGTAAAGTATGTTTTTAATAAATAAGGTACATTAGTGTGGGGTTTTCTTGGCAGTGTTACTTAGTATTGACTTTATGATTGTTCTATATGAAAGTCTCTCTGTGTGTGGGAATGGTGGAAATGGCATTAAAAAATGGGCATGATCTTGGCTGAGCACAGTGGCTCACGTCTGTAATCCCAGCACTTTGGGAGGCTGAGGCAGGTGGATCACCTGAGGTCAGGAGATCAAGACCAGCCTGGCCAACATGGTGAAACCCCGTCTCTACTAAAAATACAAAAAAATTAGCCAGGCATGGTGGCGAGCAACTGTAATCCCAGCTACTCAGGAGGCTGAGGCAGGAGAATTGCTTGAACCTGGGAGATGGAGGTTGGAGTGAGCTGAGATCGCACCATTGCCCTCCAGCCTGGGCCACAGAGTAAGATTCCATCTAAAAAAAAAAAAAAGTGCATGATCCTCATTTGTACACAATTCTGTAAGAGGGCTGCATGGAGAGCAACCCCCAAATAACATCTCTCATGTTAAAAAGACAGGAGGTAGCTTCTGGTTTAGTAAGTAAGGTTCTTCCAGGTCAATATTCTAATATTCCAATATTTAATAATATTCTAATAGTCCAATATTAGAATATTAATAATATTCTAATAGTCCAATATTAGAATATTAATAATATTCTAATATTCTAATAATGTTCTAATATTCTAATAATAATCTATATATAATAATATTCAAATAATAATAATATTCTAATATTCTAATATTCCTGGGTGCATGCACTTTGTGCTCTGTGGTCTGAGATGACAGTGAAACCTTCTGTATTTATATCACATTCTGGGCAGCTGAATAGAGGATTGGACAAAGAGACAATATCAAGTGGCATGCACCGTATACCTTAAACTCTCATTATACTGTTAGGGTGCATTGTACTTAATTTTCGTTTTTGAGTATATTTTTGAAAATTTCTAACTTTTTACAATAATTAATATTTTTAAACTATCTTAGAGTTCTTCCAAAGAATACAGAGAAAAATTTTCCTTTGTTTTAAAGTAAAAGAATAAAACTCATTGTGTCTTAACCATATTTGTATGAGTCCACTAAATGTTATAAATCTCAGATACCTTACAGGTTCTTATCTTATGTTTGCAATGTCTTTACACTTTTTGCTATTATCTTAAGAGTTACTGCACTACTCATCAAACATTTCAAAGTATACAAAAGACCATGGAACTATCAAAAAATGCTATATTAACATTATAATTCTTCATATTTCTTACTGAAATGCTCCAAGTATTAAATAATTATTTCAAGAATGTATAAAGAAAGCCTATTCTTAAAGTCTGCCTTTGGTTTTCATTGAATAGAATTGTGATTTCACAGATTTTTAAATTTTCCATGTATCGTAAGAAAGAGAAAAATATTGGTAAGGTTAGACTTTTTACAATCATTAAAAAATAAATGCAAAGAGACATATAAATACAGCTACACTATCCAATACAGTAGCCACTAATAATAGCCACAACTAGTTATTGAGCACCAGAAATGTGCTCAAATTAATATGTAATGTAAGCGTAAACTACACACTGTATTTTGAAAAGTCAGTTTGAAAACAAAAAAAAGTCTGAAAGCTATCTCATGATTTATATTGATTTCATGTTGAAACATCCAATATTAATACATTTTTGATATACTGAATTAAATAGAATATGTGATTAAAATTAATTTTACCTACTTTAACATTTTCAATATAGCTGTAAGAAATTCTAAAATCACATATATGGTTCACGTAATTGTATTACACAACACTGCTCTAGAATGTAACAATGATGGTGAAATTTATCGTGTATGTAGAATGTCAAATAATGACTATCAGTATTATATCTTGGCTAATTTTCTTAAACTCGAGAATCAATTTGTGAAATATAGTAAATTAAAAGATGCATAATATTCTCACCCAGTTTGTGATATGGTAGACTTTATCACACAATATATTTCTAAAATAATTTAGGCCATTCTTTTTTGGTATAAAGAAGAATGACAGTCTCCTTTTAGTTTTTATGATATTTGTGTTTCAAAGTTTGCCTGATACAAAAAGGTTTATTTTTTTAATTAAAGTTTCTAATAAAATTGGTTTTGATTATCCCTTTATTATTACTCTAGTACATTATTAATAAAATTACTTAGAAAAATAAAAAGAGTCTATTAGAGCCAGGTGATAACTGATTATATGTATGTTTCCTAGTAACTGCAAGTTAAAGATATTTTCTAATCTTAAAAAAAATTTAAAAGATATTTTATAAAGTTTTTTTAGAGCAGATGGCACTTAACAATTTATATACTTAACTGTCCAGAACTTTGTCACTTCTAGTGGTGAAAGGGCTTCTGGGGATTGCAGTATTCATTTTGAATCACTATGTGATTAGCTAAAACATTTTATTTCTAAAGAAGTGGAAGAAAATAGATATTGAGGAAGATGTATACTATTCCCTGCCATCATTCACATTTTTCCCTCTAATTTGGGATTAAAAGCTTTGAAAAAAAGTGCTTCAAATACTTACCATCTGCAAATATGATTTAAAGTGCACCAGGATTAAAAATGTACTACTCTTTACTTATATTGAAAGGAAATAAATGGCTTTTCACTTTTTCTACATTCTCTAAACCTATTCTCAGGAATCCCTCTCCCACCTGGTTATTAGAGCAAAGGGACTCTTAAACTCGTTAGTTAAGGTATCTTGATCAGTTATTGTTTCAGACAGCTTTCCTCCATTTTAACCAACCTCCTTATAGCCACCTCCTTATCCCTCTTTGTGTCTCAAAAAGGCCTTTGAGTGTGAGAAGTTCCTGTGACTCCTGATTATGGAGGAGGAGACTCCATAACATAACACAGAGGTTTTTTCTTGGTCCTTGATTGAATTGGACTCCATTGCAAGACTGTTGGCTTGAGTAGTTTCTAAATTGCTTGCACTTAAACCTATCAAATGACCACTGATAAAAGTTTCCATTATTTTGTTGGGTGAATGCCTAGTGCTTCTTTCTGCCAAACCCAGTTTGAATTATATAGACTTTACAGACTCTTCCTCAGTTTTAGTCAGGTACTCCACCTGAAGCCTGGCTCAGGTTATCCATTCATTATCCTCTGTGACAAGGTCATCTCTTCCTTTGCATGAAGGTCCTGTGGATCTCAACTCAGCCTTGAAGCATGCTGGAAATTTGAGGATTATTTCGTCTCTGATCCTCTCAGCCTGCTATGTCATGCTGCCATTTTTAGTTTGCTTTAGTTCATCTGACTTGATTTAAGAATTTCTCTTTCATCGTCACCTCCCAGAATTCTATAGTGGATCAGGGCACAATCTCTAGAATTTTCATTTAAATTATGTTATGTTGCAATGGCTAAGATTTTGTCATGGAGGATAAGGGCTAGAACATATTTGTCTGATTATGTCAATTCCTTTCAACTATCATCTCCATTTTTCTCCCTTTACTTCTAGGAATGGAATCATTCTATTTTACTTTCTCTTTACATCTGGTACAAACATCCCCTCTGCCATCATAGCCTTTTCCTTCCCATGATTACGTTAATTTATCTCATTCCTTGCAATTAAAAAAAATTACTGAAGAAAGCTTGTATATAGTAAAAATCTAACTATGAAATTAAAATGATTGATAATATTTTAATCCCATTATAAAATTACTTATAGTTAAATAAGATTACAAACAACTAGGAGAAAATAAGTTTTAATTTGTGATAATAATGTTAATTACAAATTCAGCTTCATGTGGCTAAGACAAAGCGCCTTGGTGTTATTTTTTCATTGTGCTGTAACTCAAGTTTCTAATGATGTACTTACTGTTGAAATTACAAATTCTGAACAAACACACATAATTTTGCAAAGAAATAATCTAAAATCCCGGTAGAAAGTATAAGGATGGACAAAAGACAAATTATCATGCATATGAAAAAAAAATAAGGCCAAGCACCATGGCCCAAGCCTATAATCCCAGGACTTGGCACGCCAAGATGGGCAGATTGCTTACGCCCAGGAGTTCGAGACCAGCCAGGGCAAAAAGGTGAAACTCTGTCTCTACAAAAATATAGAAAAAAAATTTAGCCGGGTGTGGTGGTGCACGCACGTAGTCCCAGCTACTCAGGAGGCTGAGGTGGGAGAATCGCTGGAGCCAGGGAAGTGGAGGTTGCAGATCACACTGCTGCACTCCGTCCAGCCTAGGAGATAGAGTGAGACCCTCTCTCAAAACAAACAAACAACAACAACAACAAATTCAATTTTTAAATAAATTAGGATATATATTCTCTTTAAAATATTTATTCTATAGTACTAGAGGATACTTCAAAAACTTAAATTAGACATTAAAATATGTAAGAGGTAAAAGAATAGAAACAATTTAAGACTGGGATCTGAGGAATATACTGAAGTAGGGAGAGACCTGAGGTACAATACATACTTAATGGAGTAGCTAAAGATTAGGTAATAGAAACTGAATTAAAGCAGTAGCAGCAGACACTAGCAATGTATTTAAGAAATTGAATGCTGCAGTAGGTGAAGTGGAAAGAACATGGGTAATAGCGTCAGCCATACCTGTGACTGAAACCCACACCTATTTACTACTTATTTGACCCTTTGTAATTTCTTTAATCTTTGTTCCCTATTTTATTTCTTTTTTTCTATTCAAACACGAGAATAAAAATAACTGACAGAACTATTGTAAAGATTAAGAAAAATTAAATGAGAAAATGTAAGTGCAATATCTAGAAATTTACAGAACCCAAAACGTTTTAAGTACTGGTAGTACTAGGTAATTGAATGGAAATGAAAAAGGGAATACATTTGTGGATACAAAATTTAGGCACTAGGAGAATATTGGTATTATCATGAATCATGAAGAGTAAACAAACTTTGGAGGTGGAAGCAGGCAAACCAGGAGCCGAAATATCCATTACTCCCCTCTAGGCTGGATCCCAAACCAGAAATGGGTTTGTGAGGCTTTATGCCATTTGCAAGCCTTTTTATTTGCTTTCATCTCACCTAGAACAGGAATAGACATGGTCTTCTGCTGTTTGATTGTGTGCAGCTTCTTGATGAATGCCAGAAAACAAATTTGCCAAAGTATAATAGTTTGCTCTCAGGCAAAGAGAGCTCAGAAAGTAGAGAGAGAAGGATGTAGCTTTTATAAAAAGCTTTAAATGGATGTATTGACTAATTCTAGTTAATTTTAGATCACTTCACAGATAAAAAACCTGGGTCTATTCCTTGATACATTGACATTGTTATGCAACTTTAGAAAATATGCTTCAGAGGCCAGGCGTGGTAGCTCACGCCTGTAATCCCCCCCAGCACTTTGGGAGGCTGAGGTGGGCAGATCACGAGATCAGGAGATCAAGACCATCCTGGCTAACACGGTGAAACCCTGTCTCTACTAAAAATACAAAAAATTAGCCGGGCTTGGTGGCATGCGCCTGCAGTCCCAGCTACTCAGGAGGCTGAGGCAGGAGAATCGCTTGAACCAGGAGGCAGAGATTGCAGTGAGCCGAGATTGCGCAACTGCACTCCAGCCTAGGTGACAGAGCGAGACTCCATCTCAAAAAACCAAACCAAACCAAAAAAATGCTTCAGAAAAATGTCGTAGGTTTTTCTGTGTTATTCCATGGATTGATTGCTATTGTCCACTATTACTGCTCTAATTCAAGTTCTGACTACCTAATGTTTAAATAGTCCCTGAAGTATACATTTTACCTCAGGTCTCTCCTTCGCTCTTTCAGTTTTTATATAGTTCTGAAAACCTGAAGAAAGGCCATATATAGTTTTTCTGATAAAAGCAGCATCCCTCGTATCTGGAAAATTCTCCCAACCATTTGGTTCAAATGGGAGCTTTTACCTTCTTAGAATCCTCTGTCTTGGAAATAAGAACTTAATCTAAGCTATGCTTAGGCCAGACACAGACGTCTGACTCAAAGTGGGCAAATCAACGCCCATTCCCAGGCTAGTGACCTGTGCTTCCTTTTTAGTAGTGAAGATACGAGGAACTAGAGCTTGTGCTAGTCCTGGCCATTGTTGTTTTAAAGAAGCTGATCTGGTCTACATATAAAAGAAGGATCATACAGAAATGACAGACAAAGGAGTGCAGTGAAAGGAAAAACGAGATGGGTGAGGGACAAATAAATGAGAAAGAGAAAGAAAGATGATCAGAGCGATGGATGGAGAGGAAAGGATGGAGGGAAAGAGAATGGGGATAGGGAAGAGAGATGGTTCAGTGAAATTTCCTTTTTCCCCTAAGAATTTTTCTAGTTAGGTTTATCTAATTTGTAATTGAGTAAGTTTTCACAATTACATCTCAAATTTTCTGGAATTTATATCAATATTTCCACAGTGCTCTTAATAATTTTTTTCTCTTTTTCTTCTTTTCTTTTTAATTTTTTTTGAGACAGGGTCTCACTTTGTCGCCCAGGCTGGGGTGCAGTGGTGTGATCATGGCTCACTGCAATGTTAACCTCCAAGCTTAAGGATTTGCCTTAGCCTCCAGAGAAGCTAGAACCACAGGTTCCAACCATCACGTTCCACTAATTTTTTTGTTTTGTTTTGTTTTTGTTTTTGTTTTTGTTGTAGAGACAATGACTTAGTATGCTGCCTAGGCTGATCTTGAACTCCTAGGTTCAAGCAAGCAGTCCACCTGTTTTGGACTCTCAACACGCTGAGATTATAGGCATGAGCCACCGCACCTGACCTATGATGTTTAAATAACAGTTTCACTAGCATGTTATTTTGTGAGATTTATATACTGTTTTTATTTTCAAATCAAATTTATACTTTAGTCACAAAGAATTACTGAGCACTGATCTCAAATATTTTTTACCTTCACAAAATTTCAGGCTGGGCGTGGTGGCTCACACCTGTAATCCCAACACTTTGGGAGACCGAGGTGGATGAATCACAAGGTCAGGATTTCGGGATCAGCCTGGCCAATATGGTGAAACCCTGTCTCTACTAAAAATACAAAAAATTAGCTGAGCGTAGTGGCAGGCACCTGTAGTCCCAGCTACTCGGGAGGCTGAGGCAGGAGAATCACTTGAACCCAAGAGGTGGAGGTTGCAGTGAGCTGAGATTGTACCACTGCACTCCAGCCCTGGTGATAGAATGAGACTCTGTCTCAAAAAAAAAAAATTCAATATTTATTATGTGAATAAAGAATTTTTCACCTTAAATATCTGACCCAGGACCTGCAATTTGAAAACAAATTGAAATAATAATATTGCTGAAAACTTTCTCTCTCTCTCCTTTTATGTAATACCCCATCTTAATATTTTCTAACTGTAACTTTCCAATACTTTGATTCTTATATTCTTGATCTAACTTCTAAATTTTATATTAGCAAGATCATTTAACTTACTTGTTTACACAGACTATCATCACTTTCTTTCTGAGACTTTCAAATTAAATAGTGTCCTGTTATAGTGAATCATGCAGCAGAGTAGATTACTAACTTATATATTAATCTCATTGAATTAGTAAAAGTATTGAACAAATGAGCAATCATATTACATGTTTTAACATTTTGTCAATTCTGTTCAAATACCTGATTATAGCATTCAAAATGGCAAAGTTTTTAAAATGTTAAAAAGTTGTGTTACTAAGAAAAAGATATCAAATAGACTGTTTTCTATCATAATTGTAATTTTGTCACCTGCGATATGTTTTTCTCCTTCCAATGAATTGTGTCGTTTAACACATAATCATTTTAAGAACTAACAATAGAAAGAAAAGTAAAAGCCTCTCTGATTTTCAATATGGAAAATTGTCATTGGTGATCATTCCTAATATAATACATTGGGATAGATGATAATGTTCATTATAATAAAGGTAGTATTATTGTTATTAGGGATGGTTTAATTCTTACAAGTGAAGCATAGGTGAATAACTAAGCAACATATTTCTTCTTTGATCAAAATATTTCTTTACTTTTCATATTATTTTAGCCATTTTTTTTTCCTTTCTCCTTTCCTCCCTTTTCTCTTTTTCCTGTTCCTTCTTGCCTCCCACAAATGTTTATTGTGTGTTCCCTCTCTGTTTAGGACTCTGCTAGAAGGAGACAAGTAAATAAGAAATTGCAAAACGAGCCCTATTCTCTTATAGGGTAAGGACTTGGTTTTAAGATTGCACAAATTCATACATGAAAGCTTCCAAATTGTGTGTACTGGATGTCAGAAAAGGTGACCCCAGGGAAAGAAAACTGATGAATAATTAGTGCATAACAAGAAAAAAAAGGTGAGAATGGTGGAAAAATATTTCCAGAGAAGAAAATATCCTTCTGTAACGTAATGAGATGTGCTAAAACATCATGAACATGCACCTTAATGGTAATAATAATAATTCAGAAATGTACTTAGAGTGCTAAACTGACTCTTGATCACAAAAAAACTTGTAAATCATGTTAAGAAATTTTGACTTAGAACAATTTAAGGGTTTAAACAAGAGGCTGATAGGGTCAGACTTGCTGATAATTACTTTGATAATTACTTGATAATTACTTTGGCTACTGGGTAAAGGATGGATAAAGGATGGATTGAGTGGCTGATAAGGGTTATTAGGTCCAGGGACGCCAGTTTGAAGGATTTTGTTGTCTCACCAGTTTGTAGGTGTTACAGTGGTCAGAACAGAATAGTAGCAACAGACATTGAGAAAATAAAAGAGCATAGGAAGAAATTTTAGAGGTAAAATTAATAGAAATTAATAATTGTATTAGGAATTAAAAATGAAAACACCAATGAATCCAAAATATACACTTAAGTTACAGGGCCTTTCTCTGTCATAAGGAGCATTGAAGGTAAAATAGTACAGTAAATGAAGTGTGTATGAGAATTTGACAGTAAATATTTAATAAGATTTAGACAGAAGAGTAACATTGTATAGAGCATAGAGATAAGTAAAGATCCCATGTGTTGTCTGCATAGACATACATAGAATACCTAACGTCCAAGGCCTAGGCCAAGACAGGATAGAAGAGGTCAATAGTGTTCTTAATAAAGATTTCAACTTATGTTTACATGTATATATAAAATATATATTATATATATTATTTATTATTATTATATATTAATAATATATATTATTTTGAACTTAACTCTCGAATTAAGCCAAAACAAACTGACTATATATAATATATATTATATGTATATATCAAAATTCAGTGTCTGTTATTAATGTTTGTTAAGTAATCGGAAACAAAACACACTGGAAACAAAACACACTGTTTCCCTCTCATGAGGGAAAACAGGCATCACAAAGCTAATCAGCCACACTGAAGTCACACCATTGATCAAGTAACATAACCACTGAAGGTCTTTTCGTAGCACAGAATGAAACTAACAAATAGCCCTGAAAACAGGATCTTGTCATCGATTATTGTAGTTGAAAAGGCTGGGCCGGGCGCGGTTGCTCACACCTGTAATCCCAGCACTTTGGGAGGCCGAGGTGAGTGGATCGCAAAGTCAGAAGTTGGAGACCAGCTTGGCCAACATGGTGAAACCCTGTCTCTACTAAAAGTGAAAAAATAGCCGGGTGTGATGGCGCACGCCTGTAATCCCAGCTACTCGGGAGCCTGAGGCAGGAGAATCGTTGGAACCCGGGAGGCGGAGGTTGCGGTGAGCCGAGATTGCGCCACTGCATTCCAGCCTGGGCCACAGAGCAAGACTCCGTCTCAAAAAAAAAAGAAAAGAAAAAAGAAAAGGTCACACAAGGGAATGAATCAAACTTTCTATGCAGTACCAGAATCTCTAAAGAATGTTGACAAATTGTTAGACTGTACGTGTTTTATTTCTAAAACCCAACATCTGCTACATCCAAAACTTCCTCCCAATTATAAACTGGAAATGCTACCCAAACCAAAAGTTAAATTAATTTGGTGAAAAAAAATTGTTTTTTGATAAACTCGTGTTGACTACTGAATCAACTATGGAAGCAGTACTCAAATTACTATGGAACAGGAAAGAGAGAAAATATAAGTTGCCATCACTTGATATGGACTTCTCTTGAGAATACAAACATGGTTCCAACAATATTTTAATGGCAAATAATGAAATATTAGATTTCATATTTAGTTTTAACCTAGTCCATCTAGAGTATTGAATACTATATGTTGTGTATAGTATAAAATACTGAACATTTGATCATTAAAGAACTCTGTAATAAATAATTTAAAAGTCAATGTTATGCTTCAATTTGTGTTAATATATGCACATTTAAATACATTTACACATCAGAAACTTTTGACATGTAAAGTAATTTAATATTAAATGATATCATTGGGTCACAATCAAGAGAATTTACATAGTAAGTTACAAAGAGACTCATAATGAAATATACCTTCCTTAGAAGGCAGTTTTCTTAGGTCTAGGCCCTGCAGATAGCATTATAATGAGTCTCTATAACAAATATATTTTAACATAAAGTATTTGAAAAATAGACACCTTCATCCTGTTCCCAGCTGCTATATTTCATATACTTACGGCCCTTTGGGGCTGGTGATGCACAGGTTAAGTACTGAAATCCATAACTTTATATATTTTTTAGCATCTTGTACATAAACAAAAATAAAGGTTTACAAGTCTTGCATTTTAATATTAAAGTGGTAAATTGTGAAAAAAACAAAAGTAATTCTTCATCACAAACATACATACTTTAATTTGTTCATATTTAGAGTTTAATTTGATATGCACTATAATTTATTGGTTGCTATAGATAATACTGTACAAGGAACAAAAAGATATTCTTATATTTTTTACTAGTTTTACATTAGCCTTCTTAGTTAGATGGGATTAATATTTTAGCTTCTCTTCACTTTTCATATCCAGATTCGGCAGACAATAGAATGTACATGTTAGTGTGAAAAAGGGAACTATCTGGGTTTGAGTAAGGCTTCTATTACATTGTGTAAATGATGATAGTGAATAACTTAGACATTTGGCTCCAGCTGAAAAATATTCTTAATTCAGAAAAATATCCAGATTTCTTAAATGTTCACCAAAATACTTTTTCTCATTTAGATAGAGGGCAAATGGCCACTATGACAATAGTGTGGGTACTGTTATCACACCCTTAACTTGCATTTAAATATCAGATCAGCTATCACGTAATAACTAATTAATGGTATACACAGTTGTCTTGATAAATAAATTATATTTCTAATATATATAAATATAAATTATAAGATTTAATACGAATGTAAATTAATTTAATAGTAATACTAATTAAATAGTAATGCTAGCAGGCAGTTCTGCTTTCACCTTTTATATGGCTGGACTTTATTAATCTAATTATTTTAAGCTTTTCAGTTTTAATTTAGTCAAAGGATTCTTTAAAGAATTTTGGCTTAACAAATATCAATATGTTTTAGCCTTGGTAATTTTATCTAGTTTATCCTTATGAAATATAAGCTATTTTAGTATCTTCACTTTAAAAGTGAAGAAACTAAAGATCAGCGAGCTTAAAGTATCTTGCCCAAGGCCACAGAACTATAAAATGGAAGATAAGACTCTAAGCATAGGCCTTTTATTCACATCCAGTACAATTTCCATAGAAATTTGACTGCCTTGGTAAAGTAATTCATTTTTGTGATAGTCATATTATAATTAGAATACTAACTTGTTGTTTTTTTTTTTTTGAGACAGAGTCTCGCTGTCGCCCAGGCTGGAATGCAGTGGCGCGATCTCGGCTCACTGCAGGCTCCGCCCCGCGGGGTTCACGCCATTCTCCTGCCTCAGCCTCCCGAGTAGCTGGGACTACAGGCGCCCGCCACCTCGCCTGGCTAATTTTTTGTATTTTTAGTAGAGACGGGGTTTCACCGTGTTAGCCAGGATGGTCTCGATCTCCTGACCTCGTGATCCGCCCGCCTCAGCCTCCCAAAGTGCTGGGATTACAGGCATGAGCCACCGCGCCTGGCCAGAATACTAACTTGTTAACTTATTTTAAATGGTAACATCAAGTGAAACAAAATACTGATAGCTAATGAGTTCTTTCTTTCCCTGCTAAAGACCATATTTCTTTCTTTTAATGACTATCAAGTGTTAAGTTTCAAAAGATGCTTTCATGAGACTATAGCAACTTAAATTTTCATTTTTTTCTCATGCAGATATAAGTGCAAAATCAGGCCTATATATAGTGTACTGTCCTTAATAAATTGGTGTAACATTTAAGGTGGCTTAAGTTTCTGTTCAACTTAATTTTTTTTTAAGTAACGCTTGCACATTGATCAAAATTCCTTCTTACCTCCACTTCTCTCGAACTCCAACTTTTGGACATTCCTATTAAAAAGCTGCTGATAGATCTTTAGTATAATTGGAAAATTTTAAATAACTTAAAAAAATCCAAAACAATAGCTGAACAACCAAAATAAATTCACAAGAGATTAACAACTCAATCAGCTATTGTTAAACACCAATATATAATTCTGGAAACAATGAAAAAGAAGGCCACAATTCTAACAGCTAGGGAATAATCTTGAGAACCCAGAAAATCGGAGACAGATCTCAGTTAATTTAAAAGTTTATTTTGACAAAGTTGAGGACACACCCATGACAGCCTCAGGAAATCCTGATGACATGTGCCCAAGGTAGTCGGGGCACAGTTTGGTTTTGTATATTTTAGGCAGACATGAAATATCAATCAATATATGTAAGGAGTCCATTATTTCTGTCCAGAAAAACAGAAACAACTTAAAGCAAGCCCAATCAGAATATGCATCTATCTCTGTGAGCAGAGGGATTACATTGAATAGAATGCAAGGGAGATTTGCCCTGAGTGGTTTCCAGCTTGAAGGGGCCCAAGATATTTTCTTTTCACATTTCCCCCCTTTTCTTTTTTCAAATCTTTTGTAGAAAGCATTTTACAAAAAAATAAATCTCTGGCTTCAGGTTTCATCTGATCTCTCATGGCTAGGATGGTTTATTTCTAGATGAGTAGGTCCCAAAAGCTCATTTTTAGCAGATTGTGAAGTCTCATGTCCTGTGAAGAGAAAATAGAGGGGAGAAAGGGAGAAAAAACAACAACAAACGAACAATCCTGGAAAAATTGATATAGGCCACATTACTCTGAAGTCCATACATTAGTAGGCAGGTATGAAAGTGGTTTATGTATGTAAATGGGTTGCTTTTATTTTCTTTTAAGTTTAAGTTGTCTGGCTTCAGTTTGCAGGGTTTCAAGAAAGCACAGCTTAGTTTTCAGTGACTTCAAATTAGGAAAAATGGAAAAAAAGGAGAAAAAATTAAAAACATTATTTTGAAGAGTTGTAGCCTAGAAAAATTACAATTCAGTCCAAACTGTAGAAAATAATAAACACTGAAAAATAAAACATTAGGCAAGACTAGAATCTAACAATAGGCATACAATCATTTTAAAACATAATTTTTTTTTCTCAAGTTTCTCATTTTACTAAAGACAAATCATAGTAGAAATGGTTTGCTTACTATACTTGGCCTAATTATTTGTATACAGCACAGCAAGCATAATTATTTTTTACATAGGCTTTTAAATTGGCTTTGATGGAACTTTGTTCCATAGGATGAATCTCAGACAAGACTTTTTAAAGCCAAGCCCAGCCATGACTTTGTGCCATCAAATACCTATGAACTGGGTGAATTACCTCTCCTCTTGAGGTTCCAAGATGAACCTGGGGGTTTCTGTGCCTGTCAGAAAGTAACATTCTTCACTTACCACAGGTCAGAACCCCTGCACATGGACTGTGTACATAAAACATGAGGCCAGTTTTTCAAAAGGGCTTTATTGGCTCCATAAGTCAAGTTTATTCTTTAAAGGAAAGTACATCATTCCAGTCAAAGCCTTGGTAAAATAATTTCTCCAATTGTGTCCTGTTACAAATGAAAATATATTCTAATTACACTTATGCAAATAACTGTATTGCCATAAGTTAACAATAGTCACAAATAGTTTCCAAATTCCAAAGGTAGAAAGAAACAAATATGCTCCAAATTTTATTCATAAGAAGTATACTAAATTGTTAAAAGCTGTCAATAGCTCAAAAGAAAAGTTCTGAAAAATAAAAAAAAGGATCAGCAAACATTTTAAGCAAAAGTCAAAAAGATTGGTTCCATCCATGAAGTTAATTCCTGTTCTGCTTGAGACTCATGAACATTTTAGCTCTTCATGAGTCCTGAAAGCTTTTCCTCTATTCTGATGTCACTATCCCCAAAGTTATCAGAAACCTGCATTTCAGAGCACCTGTTGGAGTTTTATAGCTGATTATAAAACCACCTTCTAAAGAGGCCCAAATAAGACAACAATTGTCCATGAATGAAAAAAAAGTTTTAAGGCAGCCATAGTTCAAAGACACAATTGACAAGGAAATTTGTTAACTCTGTGGCACACAATAATTTTAACATAACAATTATGATTACTGATAATGTACACTGTTATATCAGAATTATAGGAGTTTCTCATAATTTTGGAACACATACCAATAACATATTCCTACAAATACAACCCAAAGAAAACCAAACAACATTTCATGTTTGACAAATGCTTTCTGTAAAATTTTTATACCAAATAAGCCAACATATGTGATTTTTGGACTTTAGGAAATCTAATGTCTTAAAGGTTTAATTAGATTAGAAAAAGACATAATTTATAATTTAGTTTTGGGAAGTTCATCAAATATAAAAGGTTTAAAACACTTGGTATTACAAAAGAGGATTACAGGTCATTGTAAAGTCATTTATTTAACCAAAGTGATAACTCGAGGATTAAAAAAAAAAAAAAAAAAAGATGAAGACCTTCATTCTTTGAGATAGGAGACTTACTTTTCTAAACAAGCCCTAATAAAAATAGCAAGAAGCCAATTACTTTTCTTTTCCAAAATTTTGTAAACAATCTATAAAATTTAATCTTGATTATAAAATATAGCTTCCATAGGCCTTTTATAACCTTTATTAAGGAGTTGGTTAATGCTTCAAGAAAATCTTGTTAATCTGACACAGGGGGCCATATACTGGTTTTGCATCAGTGTGCCTTTGACACTAATGATTAATTTATAGAGAAACTGAATATATTTTATTTTTCAAAATCGGCCCTTGTAATCTTACATGTCCACCACTTCCATGATAGTCACTGGGCCTTGAGGAACTTAATAGCTTTAATTCTTTTGCCCTATGTCTCAGGAATGCAGTTTATTTTGATTGGCATCTTCTACAGGGCCTGAAGATGAGGCTTTAATTGCTGTCAGTGTTTAAGATTTAGCAGGACTTGGTGTCCTTTTTAGACTTAGGAGTTAAAGCCCGTAACTCAGTATTATAAGGACTTTAAAAGCACATACAGGAAGATACATGGATGTAATAGCCTTAATTAAAAAAAACATTGTATCTCACTTTTGTTAAGCAAACCAAAACTTAATAATAATATGACAATTTAATTACATAATTTAAAAAATATATATAAATCTTCTTATTGTGACTTACACTTACTGTTCATCACATGTTCAGACTTTTTGGTTTTCCTGAACATCCCTCCTTTTTAAACAACCAGTTATTTTATTTTAGGACTAAATTTACCACAGAAGATTATTTCTTAAATAAAATTATTTATCTTTAAGCTTTTTTACCTCAAAAAACAAAAACCTCTTAATTTTTACAACTTTCTTTACATATTTTTTTTACTCCTGGTTCCTTTTACCTTGTTTTATACATAATCTTTAAATAAACTTTGAATTAATCAAAACTTGTTCACCTTTTTTTAAAAAAGGACACTTTCTTTTAGCAAGAATGTTTTCCTACAGTATATATTTATTGGAAAATACTCAAATAATGAAATATCTATCATTTAATTTAATATAACCATATATTCTAAATTAAGACCAGTTTGACTACAAGTATTTATTCCATTACATTTACTTATTTTATTGTAATTGTTTATCTAGATTATTTATGAAAACTGTGATAGTCATGATTTAAAGTTATGAAACTACCATTGGAAAATTATAATTGAGGCGGTGAAAAAAGATTGGACCTAACTGACTCCGTCTTGCTCTTAACATCCAAACTGTCCTTGTTCATTCCTGGGCATAGGCCAAAGTAACTTTGAGAGGAACTTAAAGTTTAGCTTTGAAACAAAGACAATAAGAGTCCTTTCCCAAAATAAACCTCTTTATTGGCTGTGAACCAAACTGCCTAAAACCACAGGATTAGAAGTTAAGGTAATCTTACTAAATTCAAGATGCAGCTATTTTCATTAAACCCATATAAATGTCTAATTTATTAAAAATTACACAAAGATCATTCTGATTTGGGCTGGGTTTATAGTTTTGTGTCTCCTATGCCAAATTTTGACACAAATATATTTGACAGAGATGAGTATAAAATTTACTTGATTAATAAATGCAACACAAATATATGTTGGTTATTCCTTAAGACACTTTTAATATTACTTTACCAATAATTTTAAAGCTAGCTTATTTATTAAAGATTTTACTTAAGTTACATAAACTTGAAAAAGCATTTGACTAGTCGTTTCTTTTTTAGTAGCTGATTTAAGTGCTTTTATTTTCTTTAAGCCAATTAATTAGAGCTCTTTTATATATTTTTAGCAGTGAAACATTTTGTACAGAACATATAAATACATGTCAATGTATATTAGGCATGACCATAGAAGTACATTTTATAGGTTTATAAAGAAACGCCCACCCTATTTTTTTTTTTTCTATCTTAGACTTTCAGATTCTTGATAACCTCTTTCACAATCCTAGGCAGTTGTCAGCTAAATAGCCTTAAATTTGCACATTAAAGGAAACAACTCAGGTGAAAATCAAATAGCAAAATTTGCATCATAAGGTACAGAGAGAAGAAAATCTGGTGGTGCTAGAGGGAGATGCTTTTATTTTTCTTTGAGCCAAATTATACATAAAATTAAACTACACTTTTTTTTTTTTTGTGATGGAGTCTTGCTCTGCAGCCCAGGCTGGAGTGCTGTGGCATGACCTTGGTTCACTGCAACCTCACCTCTTGGGTCCCGGTTCAAACAATTCTCCTGCCTCAGCCTCCTGAGTAGCTGGGATTACAGGCACGCACCACCATGCCCAGCTAATTTTTGTATTTTTAGTAGAGATGAGGTTTCACCAGGTTGTCCATGCTGGTCTTGAACTCCTGACCTCGTGATCCTCCCGCCTCGGTGTCCCAAAGTGTTGGGATGACAGGCATGAGCCACCACGCGCAGCCACACTCTTTCTTGAAAACCAAAGAGTAGCCTCTGTTGCAATAGCTATTTTAGAAAAAAAAAAAAATCAGGTGAAAACAGAATTCAGTCAACTAAGAAAAAGAAAAAGAAAAAACTTTTGCTCAAAAAAAAAAAGAAAAAGGTATTAGAGAAAAACACAAACATGAAGGCCTTTCAAATACAAACTTGCACACAGACACTCATACATCTTGGATGCTAGCCTTTTAATTAAGTTGGCTTTTAATCACTGAGCTCCTTAAAAAATTTTTTTTGAAAATCTTATTACCATATTTCAGCTAGGACAAAATGCTTCTATTTCAGAAGTACAGCCATTGCTCTTTCAGTTTGGTCTGCCTGGCATAAAGGTGCCCTTATTATGTAAATAAAGCCCCTTAAGCAGTTAAAATTAAAATCTTTTCTTTTTTTTTTTTCTATTTTGCTAGCTGTTTTCCTCCCATTTCAGAGGCCTTGTTCCCTACAATTTAGGGTTCCCCTTTGGATTTGACCAAGACAGAAACAAACAACAAAACAGTTCAGCAAAACTACCAATGAACACACAAATTATACGATTTCTGAGGGCTCTAAGTGTAAGCAGAAATTAACACCAGCTGGTTGTTAAATGCTAAATTTAGTCATTTAAAAGCAACCTGCAAGACAGAATCCCAAACCAGTTTCTTACCTGGTGATGGGTCTCAGGCTGTAGACCGCTCTCTACCATCCTAGAAGAAGGAAAAAAAAAACCTCATCTTCCCTGTTGGAAGCAAGCTCAAACTCCATAAAGGAGTTGTCTGCCTTCCATCATCATGGAAGCAAGAAAACCTGCCTTCCTGTTGGAAGCAAGTAAAACTCCCTCAAAAAGAGGAGTTGTACAGCAAAATAAACTTTTGATCTCAACCAAATTTTTGGAGCTCAGGGATTCTCTGGAGGGGGTGCACGGCAAATTGTCCTATTGGTTTGAACCATAAAGTTAGCTCATGCTGGTACCAAGCACCAACAGGATATTTGTCAAAGGTCAGGGGTATCTCCACTCAGAATCCCCCTGTGGTTACCAAAATGTGAACCCAGAAAATCTGAGACAAGTCTCAGTTAATTTAGAAAGTTTATTTTGCCAAGGTTGAGGGTGTGCACCCATGACACAGCCTCAGGAATCCTGATGACATATGCCCAAGGTAGTCAGGGCACAGTTTGGTTTTATACATTTTAGGGAGACACAAAACATCAATCAATATATGGAAGAAGTACGTTAGTTCCTCCAGAAAGGTGGAGAAAACTGAAAGCAAGCCCTCCCCCCGCCCCCTCTCCCTCCCCTCAGGGGCTTCCAGGTCACTGGTAGGTGAGAGACAGATGGCTGTGCCTCTATCTCTGTGAGCAGAGGGATGACTTCGAATAGAATGGAGGCAGATTTGCCCTGAGCAGTTCCCAGCTTGAAGGGGCCCAAGATATTTTCCTTTCACAATCTTAACCCTTAAACTGTTTTTTTTAAAGAAAAAATGTGCATGATTGGTGTTTAGTTTGAAAGAGATAAGCATTATTAGTCATTTCTGTGACCTTCAACAAGTCACTTAATCATATTGTGCCTCAATTTCCTCATATATAAAAAAGTGGTAATAATAATATTGTAGGAGCCAATGAAAAACCACCAAACAGGTTTTGTGTGAGCAATAAAGCTTTTAATCACATGGGTGCAGGCGGGCTGAGTCCGAAAAGAGTCAGTGAAGGGAGATAGGGGTGGGGCTGTTTTATAGGATTTGGGTAGGTAAAGGAAAAAGGGGGGTTGTTCTCTGGTGGGCAGGAGTGGGAGTCACAAGGTGCTCAGTAGGGGAGCTTTTGAGCCAGGATGAGCAAGGAGAAGGAATTTCACAAGATAATGTCATCAGTTAAGGCAGGAACAGGCCATTTTCACTTCTTTTGTTGTGGAATGTCATCAGTTAAGGCAGGAACCAGCCATTTGGATGTGTACCTGCAGGTCACAGGGGATGTGATGGCTTAGCTTGGGCTCAGAGGCCTGACATTCCTATCTTCTTATATTAATAAGAAAAATAAAATGAAATAGTGGTAAAGTGTTGGGGTGGCGAAAATTTTTGGGGGTGGTATGGAGAGATAATGGGCGATGTTTCTCAGGGCTGCTTCAAGTGGGATTAGGGGCGGCGTGGGAACCTAGAGTGGGAGAGATTAAGCTGAAGGAAGATTTTGTGATAAGGGGTGATATCATGGGGTTGTTAGAAGAAACCTTTGTCTTATAGAATTATTGGTGATGGCCTGGATACAATTTTGTATGAATTGAAAAAACAATGGAATAAGATAAGGAGAAAAACAGGTATTAAAGGACTAAGAATTGGGAGGACCTACGACATCTAACTAGAGAGTGCCTAAGGAGGTTCAGCATAGCCCTGCCAGCAAAGATTATTTATTTACTTTAAGAGGGAGTTAAGAGTGGCAGTTTGGGGATAGCACCAGCAGATATCAGCTGTGGTGGCTTGGAGAAACAGTGTAAACAGGCAGTGTAAACAAGAGCAGGGCATTTATGAGTAGTTGACAACGGTGAATAGGAGTATGACTAGACAGAAGATAGTAGAGATAACAGTTTTATTTTTTTTTGGTGGGGGCGCAGTCCCAGTTGGTCTAGTGTCTGGAATGAGACTGGGGCCTAATAAAAAGGAGCATCTATACAGGAGCTCAAATGGCCTGTACCTTGTAGCATTCCGAGGACAGGCCTGAATTCTGAGAAGGGCAAGTGGTAAAAGTATTGTCCAGTCCTTTTTAAGTTGGTAGCTGAGCTTGGTGAGGTGTGTTTTTAAAAGACCATTAGTTCACTGAATACTAAGAGCCTGAGAAACTGCTTGGGTGATTTAACTAATAAAGGCCGGTCCATTACAGGACTGTATAGAGGTGGGAAGGCCAAACCGAGGAATTGTGTCTGACAGAAGGGAAGAAATGACCGTGGTGGCCTTCTTAGACCCTGTGGGAAAGGCCTCTACCTATCCAGTCAAAGTGTCTACCCAGACCAAGAGATATTTTAGTTTCCTGACTCAGGGCGTGTTGAGTAAAGCCAATTTGCCAGTCCTGGGCAGGCAAATCCCCAAGCTTGATGTGTAGGGAAGGGAGGGGGCCTAAATAATCTCTGAGGAGTAGGAGAATAGCAGATGGAAGATTGAGGAGTTATTTCTTTGAGAATAGATTTCCACGATGGAAAGGAAATCAGAGGTTCTAAGAGGCAGGCTAGTGGCTTGTACTATAGCATAGCCTGCCTTTGCTGGTGTGTGGCGATTAGGCCTGGTGGAACTGCCATCAATAAACCAAGTGTGATCAGGGTGAGGAACAGGAAAGAAGGAAATATGGGGAAATGGGGTGAATGTCAGGTGGATCAGAGAGATATAGTCATGGGGGTCAGCTGTGGTATCAGGAATAATGTGGGAGGCTGGATTGAAGTCTGGGCCAGGAAAAATGGTAATTGTGGGAGACTCAACAAAGAGTGAGTACAGCTGAAGGAGCCGGGGAGCAGAGAGTATATATGTCAGGTGTGAGGAAGAAAATAGATTTTGGAAGTTATGAGAACTGTAGAGAGTGAGTTGAGCATAGTTTGTGATTTTAAGGGCCTCTAAAAGTATTAGGGTGGTGGTGGCCGCTGCACGCAGACTTGCGGGCTAGGCAAAACAGTAAGGTCAAGTTGTTTGGATAAAAAGGCTACAGGGTGCAGTCCAGGTCCCTGTGTAAGAATTCTGACTGCACAGCCCTGCACTTCGGCTGTGGGTAATGAAAAGGGTTGGGATGAGTCAGGGAGAGCTGGGTAGGGGCAGTCTCTAAAGCTGTCTTCAAGGAATGGAAAGAGGAGTGGGGAAAGGATTTAGGATCTATGGGGTCAGCTTTTGTGAGTTTATATAATGGTTTTGTTAGGATGGCAAAACCAGATATCTAAAGTTGAAAGTATCCAACTATGCCTAGGAAGGAAAGGAGTTGTTGTTTTGTAGAAGGGATTGAGGTTTGGGAGATTAGTCGGACATGATCAGCAGGGAGAGCACGTGTGTTTTTATGAGAATTATGCCGAGATAGGTAACAGATGAGGATGAAATTTGGGCTTGACTGAAGTAATGGGGGCTGTCTGTGAAGCCTTGCGGCAGTACAGCCCAGGTAATTTGCTGAGCCTGATGGGTGTCAGGGTCAGTCTAAGTGAAAGCGAAGAGAGGCTGGGATGAAGGGTGCAAAGGAATAGTAAAGAAAGTATGTTTGAGATCCAGAACAGAATAATGGATTGTGGAGGGAGGTATTGAGGATAGGAGAGTATATGGGTTGGGCACCATGGGGTGGATAGGCAAAACAATTTGGTTGATAAGGCGCAGATCCTGAACTAACCTGTGAGGCTTGTCTGGTTCTAGGACAGGTAAAATGGGGGAATTGTAAGGAGAGTTTATAGGCTTTAAAAGGCCATATTGTAGCAGGCGAGTGATAACAGGTTTTATCCTTTTAAAGCGTGCTGTGGGATGGGATACTGGCATTGAGTGGGGTAAGGGTGATTAGGTTTTAATGAGATGGTAAGGGGTGCATGACGGGTCGCCAAGGAGGGAGTAGAGGTATCCTATACTTGTGGGTTAAGGTAGGGGGATACAAGAGGAGGACACAAAGGAGGCTTTGGATTGGGAAGAAGGGCGGCAATGAGATGTGGCTGTAGTCCAGGAATAGTCATTGAAACAGATAATTTAGTTAAAGTGTCTCGGCCTAAGAAGGGAACTGGGCAGGTGGGGATAACTAAAAAGGAGTGCTTAAAAGAGTATTGTCTAAGTTGGCACCAGAGTTGGGGAGTTTTAACAGGTTTAGAAGCCTGGCTGTCAATATCCATTATAGTTGTGGAGGCAAGAGAAACAGGCACTTGAAAAGAAGGTAATGTGGAGTGGGTAGCCTCCATATTGATTAAGAAGGGGACGGACTTACCCTCTACTGTGAGAGTTACCTAAAGCTCGGTGTCCCTGATGGTCTACGGGGCTTCCGAGGTGATAGGGCAGCGTCAGTCTTCAGCTGCTAAGTGGAGAAGATCAGGGAAGGAGTCAGTCAGAGAGCCTCGGGCCAGAGTTCCAGGGGCTCTGGGAGTGGCTGCCAGGTGAGTTGAACAGTCCGATTTTCAGTGGGGTCCCATACAGATGGGACGCGGCTTAGGAGGAATCCCGGGCTGCGGGCATTCCTTGGCCTGGTGGCCAGATTTCTGGCATGTGTAGCAAGCTCCTGGGGGAGGCGGTTCTGGAGGAACACCTGGCCACTGCGGCTTAGGCGTTTGGAAGTTCTTGTGTGCTGGAGATGTGGCTGTGGTTTGTCTCACAGTGGAGGCAAGGAATTGCAACTCAGAAATATGTTGCTACTTGGCTGTCTCTACTCTATTATTGTACATCTTGAAGGCGAGGTTAATTAAGTCCTGTTGCGGGGTTTGAGGGCCGGAATTTAATTTTTGGAGTTTTATTTAATGTCGGGAGCAGATTGGGTAATAAAATGTATATTGAGAATAAGACAGCCTTTTGACATTTTAGGGTCTAGGGCTGTAAAGCATCTCACGGTTGCTGCCAAATGAGCCATGAACTGGACTGGGTTTTTATATTTGATGAAAAAGAGCCTAAACGCTATCTGATTTGGATAAAGAAAAAGGAGCATTAACCTTGACTATGCCTTTAGCTCCAGCCACCTTTTTAAGAGGAAATTGCTGGGCAGGTGGGGGAGGGCTAGTCACCGAAGGAAACTGTAAACCGGACCGGGTGTGAGGAGGGGAGGTGATAAAAGGATTACAGGGTGGAGGAGGAGAGGCTGAGGAAGAATTGGGACCTAGCTCAGCCTGGCGAGGAGGAGAGAGGTCAGATGGGTCTGTAGAAAAGGAAGATTAGAAAGACTCAGCGACGCTTGGGGTTGGGACTGAGGGGACAGGCAGGAGGGAAAGAGGGAAGATTTGGGATGAGTTGCACTGGGAACAGAGACCAGGGAGGGATCAATGTGTAAATGAATGCCTGGACATCAGGCACCTCAGACCACTTGCCCATTTTATGACAAGAATTATTTAGATAGTGTAGGATGGAAAAATTGAAAGTGCAATTTTCTGGCTATTTGGAACTACTGTCGAGTTTGTATTGGGGTCAAGTGGCATTGCAGAAGAAAATAAGGCATTTAGGTTTTAGGTCAGGTGTGAGTTGAAGAGGTTTTAGGTTTTTAAGAACACAGGCTAAGGGAGAAGGGGGAATGGAGGGTAGAAGCTTGCCCATAGTGAAGGATGCAAGCCCAGAGGAAAGAGAGAGTAGAGACACGGAGGGAAGGGGTTCGGGGGTTCTTACCCTCCAGAAAAGTGTGGAAGGCATCGGGGTGTGGAAATAAGGAGTTGGGGAGCAGAGATAAGAGGTCGGGGCGTGGAAATAAGGGATCGGTGATCAGAGATAAGACGTCAGGGCGCGGAAATAAGGGATGGGGCACAGAGATAAGGGGTCGGGGCATAGAAATAAGGGATCGGGGCACAGAGATAAGGGGTCGTGGAAGGGGTCATGGTCAGCACTCTGGACTCTGAATCCAGCGATCTGAGTCACGGCACCAAGTTTCATGCGCGTCTGTGTGAAGAGACCACCAAACAGGCTTTGTGTGAGCAATAAACTTTTAATCACATGGGTGCAGGCAGGCTGAGTCCGAAAAGAGAGTCAGGGAAGGGAGATAGGGGTGGGGCCGTTTTATAGGATTTGGGTAGGTAAAGGAAAAAGGGGGGTTGTTCTCTGGCAGGCAGGAGTGGGGGTCACAATGTGCTCAGTAGGTGAGCTTTTAAGCCAGGATGAGTGAGAAGAAGGAATTTCACAAGATAATGTCATCAGTTAAGGCAGGAACAGGCCATTTTCACTTCTTTTGTGGTGGAATGTCATCAGCTAAGGCAGGAACCGGCCATCTGGATGTGTACGTGCAGGTCACAGGGGATGTGATGGCTTAGCTTGGGCTCAGAGGCCTGACAATCACCCTCTGAAAGTCCATTGAAAATCAACTGGAGAAAAGCAGATTAATAGGAGAAAAAGTATACAACATTTTACAGGAGAGCATTCTCTTGAGGAGCAACCAATAATTATTAAAGGGAATAAGTGGACAGAATTCACTTGTAAGTTATTCTCTTTATTGAATAAGTCCAAGTGGCAAGCATTATTTTGTGAAAAAGTCTCTCCAGATGCATTTGCATTCCAGTCTTCTTTTCTGACATAGATCATACGATTTCACGAAGAAGAGAAACAATTGTGTTTCTTTTGGAGAGATTTGTTGGTAAGATGTAAAAGTCGAAAAGAAAACCCCTCTCTGCACTTGGGAGTTGGGGGACACCAGACAAAATTAGAGGTACCTGGATTCTAAGAAAGCTTCTAAGGCCTTCAGCATGTTGAAGTGCCAGTCTTTCTTTCTGAGTCCCAACAGTATCTGCCTCGTTGTGAATATTAAAAGGAAGTACTTTAGAACACGATCCAACACAAATAAGAACTTACTGGGTTTGCTATAATGATTATTATTGACTAAATCAGAAAAATCATGGATAAGCCAAAAAAAATATGATGTGTCAGATTTTACACACCTTTATAAAAATGGCAATAGAACAGGGAGAAATCAAGCCCATCATTCTTTGTGTGTCTCTTCATTGCTCTACTTTGATTTGCTCAGTATTCGGTGACCAATGCTCTTGGGCACCTCTGAGAGACAAGTTGCAGCTAATTTCTAATTTTTGTTTGTTTATAATTCATACTTTTATATAGACCTTCAAAGTATTTCTATAGATTCTCACTCTACACTCTTATAAATATTTGTATTAATTCATGTTGTCAACATAAAGGAAGAAGCTGAGCCAGAATTAATATAAATAGAGAGTATTTGGTCCAAGTTTAAGGACTGCAACACTAGAGCATAGATCAGGGTGGCCTGAATATATATGTTGATTAACAACAATTACAAGTGGGTTTGTAAAAGAAAAAAGAAGAGGCAGTTTCTAAATTGTATACCAAAATTTCATGTTAAAATAACAAGCTATTCACTGGCTATACATTCTTGTGTATTACAAATTCCAGGAACATGAAGATAATGAATGAGGCAGCTAGTCAAGAAACTGCTGGGGAAGAAAAAAAAAGGAAAAAAAATGCTTTTAAACAATGCCATTGGGCATAGTTGTGAGTAGAGGGTAGACAACTGAAGTCAGGTACTCATGTCTTTCTCGGCCTGATAAATTTTACATACCAAACATAGCTCACACTGCTCTGATCTATTTTCTTTTCTCAATGTTTTTCTACTCTTTTCATGGTAGATGATTAATTAAGTTTGCCCTAAAGCTGCCTTTGTACATATTTTAAGTTTGGCCTAAAGGTTTCTTGCTACATAGTGACCTGTAGCCTAACTGGATGTGTAAACAGACTGTAGCCTACTCTTGTAAGAAATAGCTGAATCTCAATCACTGTGGCTGAGTGTTAGCCAATCACAGCCAGCGGACTGCTCAAACTGTATTCAGATAAGGCAAATGCTGAGCTGTAACCAATTTTCCTGTTTTCTGTACCTCAGTTTCACTTTCTGTGTATCACTTTTCTTTTTCTGTCTTAAATTTTACCTGACCATGTGGCAGCCCTGATGTTACTCTGAACCTATTTTGATTCTGTAGCCCTGCAAATTGTTCTTTGCTCAATTAAACTCTGTAAAATGTATTTTTTCTAAACTTTACCTTTTATCATAGGAAAAGCCAGTTGCTGGTCTTTACCATTAGTTAAGAAGATTTTACCTTTTGTTTTATGCATCTAAGCAGTCTGTTCTATCTAATTTGTGTTCTTTCTCTATCTAGTTGGGATGGTAAGAGTATGTAGAATGTTCTGGCTTTTTACAACAAACAAGATGTTTACAATTTGAGTACTATCTGAAAAAGTTTCTACTGCATTTTAACTTATAGCAATATGGAATAATTCATCTGAGATTTTACTGTTTAAAAGATTTCCTATCCACCTGTGGAAGCTACAAGCAATTTGTATTATAGCACACATAAAATAAGGCTTACTAAAATTGAAGTTTCCTATTTTCTTTAATGATGCAATGTCTTGTAAATTTTTATAGCTTTTGTTTAAACATTGTAGAACTGAAAATGCTACAATGAAAATGTTTTTAAATAATTTGTCACTTAAGATGTTTTAAATGTTCTGTACAGTTTTCACTATTAAACTCAATAACTTTTTGTTTAATAAAATGTGTATATAAATGATACTAAAATTGCTAAGATACTTAATATATACACATTACCTTAACATATTTCTTTGTTTGAGATTGCCAAATTGATATTATACAAAACTACATAAAATTTCGAATTCATCAGATGTTAAATTCATTACCTTTTTAAAATTCCTCTTATACTCATGGAAATTTATTCTAAATCACTTCTTCAGATCAAACACATTCCCTGAGACATAGACAAGAAAAAGATTAAGCAAGTTAAAAAAAAATTCTAATTAGTGTTTTTTCACCTTCGTCATCAAACATGAGTAGAGAAGTGATCAAAATCTTTTAATGGTCAGAAGTGGGCAAGTTTTGGGGCGTTATCTTTCATCTAAAATAACTTTTTTCTGCATTATTTCTGAAGGTCAGTTTGTTAGCCTAGTTTGAAAAAGGTTCAAAAAATCTAGATTAAAAAGGAAACTATAGAATGATGTTTTAAAAACCTTACTTCATGCATACATTTTTCATTACTTGAACTATGTGAATAAAACTTCAAAAGTGGGAGAATTTAATTCTATACTATTTCTAAAAAGAAATAATCTGAACTTAATTGCAAAATTAACCATCATTAGTACAATTACTTAGTTATTAATATTTTGTCTTGTATGTTAACATGTTTTTGATTTTTTGAAGCAGAATAATCTGATTTATAACTTCAAATGGCAAAATAGGTCTCTTGAAACATAAACTTAAATTAACCTGTAAACTTTAAATTAAATCTGAAAAAATTTAAATAAAAATAAAGAAAATTAAAAGCAAATTCAAACATAGGAATTTTTGAAAGACATAGATGATTTTCTATCAAGGCATTTTCCATGCTATTAATTGCTAACATTCATTGATTACTTACTAAAATCTAGACATTTTCTGTTATATAAATTTATTCATATATTATCACATTATTACTATTTTTTATAAGTGAGCAATTTCAGGCAAAGTGTGATTCTGGGACTGATTCAAGATATCTAGCATAGCCAATATTTAAACACGCTGTTGGTGCTGGTGTACAAACTTTCAATCACTACATTATGAGGTGGCTACCTCATAATAAACTTGATTGTTAAGAAAAGAGAAACACTGTATAGGCCACAAGTTGTGAATTGATTCATAAAATGTTCTGTACTTACAATTTTTGAGTGGTCAAACAAGCCTATTTCATTGGAGTGAAAACTTTGAACAAGTACTAGAAACCATTATTCTTGCATTAATATTTTTAAATTATATATTTCTTTAGAGAATTTCTAAATTTTCAAGTAAAATAATAAAATGGCCAGAAATAATACAACTAAATTAAATGCACCATCTAACAAGCAATTACATCTCAATATCAGAATCACTTTTGAAGGTGAAATAACCACTATGCTACTGCCCAAGAAGTCAGAAAGAACAAAAACCCAAAACAAAAAAGACTTCTGTTTTAAGAAATTTGCAATCTAATTGAGATGAAAAAATAAACACCTGGGAATATAAAAAATATTATTAGTAGCTGACAACCTGGATTTAAAAGTTACTATTTCTTCATTCTTAGAATTTAAATCTGGGATTTTCCTAATCCTAACCCTTCTTAACCCTGATTGCATTTTGAAATGCTAACAATTGTCTTAAATACCCATATGTCTTTCTACTACTACGATATACTGATTCATATTTTTGGTATCTATTTGTGTATTTCAGATACCAAAAATACTGTACATCTGATGCAGTATTTTTGGTATCTGAAATACACAAATAAATTTGTGTGTTTATTTGTGTATTTGTGTATTTCAAAAATTCCTTCAGAGTTGGAAAACTTTATTTTAGGAATTCCTATTTTGGATATGTGTTCTCCATGTTGCTTCTTTGTAAAGTATTTTTTTTTTCACTCATTATTGAATAATTTAGTTGGCCATAAAATTCTTGATGGGCATCTATTTTCTTCTAATTCTTTGAAAATATTTAACTTCACTATGGCTTCCGTCTGCTATTTCCATTCTTTTGTAGGATAGCCACCTTATCTCTCCACAATTGTTCTTATTTTTAAAAACTTTAAATTGAAATATATTAAATATACAAAAACATACACATACTACAATTTACAACTATGAATCTCCACAAATGAAACTGAAGTAATGGTAGGGGCCAAGGGAAAACTTCCCCATTACATTCTGAAAGTTTGCTGAAAGTCAGCCAACAAAAGGCAGATTAACAGGAGAAAAGGCAAACAAATTTATTTGGTCATAGTTTTACATGACACGGGAGCCTTCAGAATGAAGACCCAAAGATATACGGGAAACTGTCCATTTTTGGCTTAGGGTTGACAAAGTATGGATAGCTGTGTAGAAATAATATTGGACCCAAATGGTATGATTGAATGCTAGAAGACTGAATGGAGAAACTCAGCAAAGGTTTATGTTGTCTGTTTAGATTCTTCTTTGCCTCTCTGTGCAGCATTCCTTCCTTCTTGGTATGGGGCAGGGCCCTCTGTGGAATGAGAGTCTTATGACCTACAATCAAACAAGATAGGTCAGATAATTTCTTTATGGCCAGCTTTTACGCAGAAAGGTGGGGGGTAAGTTACACTATAATTTTTAAGTTTTATGACTGGCTTTGGGGAAAAGGGATTCTAGCTTTTTTTAATTTTTAATTTTTATTTTAAGTTCTGAGGTACATGTGCAGGATGTGCAGGTCTGTTCCATAGGCAAATGTGTGTCATGGTGGTTTGCTGCACCTATCAATCCATCACCTAGGTATTAAGCCCAGCATGCATAGCTATTTTTCCTAATGCACTCCCTCTCCCCACCCCACCCACAAAGGCCCCTGTGTGTGTTGTACCCTTCCCTGTGTCCATGTGTTCTCATTGTTCAGCCCCCACTTGTAGTGAGAACATGTGGTGGTTGGTTTTCTGTTCCTGTGTTAGTTTGCTGAGGATAATGGCTTCCAGCTCCACTCTGTCCTCCAAAGGGTATGATCTCCTTCCTTTTAATGGCTACATAGTATCCCATGGTATATATGTACCACATTTTCATTCTACTTTCTATAAGTGCCTTGGGGGAAGTGGGATGATAGTTTCTGTGGCTAGCCTCAGGGGACAATAAGGGGCCAGAGACAGGAGGGCAAGTGAAGGTCAGAGATAAACTTTTGCTTCTGAGGTGAATTTTGTGGCTTTCATTTTGAAGTATCATTTCTGAGCCACAAAATAATCAACCCCCATCCACAAAGAAACAGGGCATTACCAACACTCTCAGCCTCAGAACCTCTGCTCTTGGACTCCTTTAGCATTATTAACCCCTTTCCTTTAAAAGGTACGTAGAACTCAGTCTTGTAATAAAGTTATATTACTTTTTGCCTGCTTTTCGATTTGCAGGCACATCGTATACTATACGTTTTACACTATATGTCCTCTTTCGTGTTTGTCTTCTTTTGCTAAACATTGTGTTTGTAATATTTATGCCCATCTATTTGTGCTGGTTTGTTCATTCTCACTACTATATAGTATTACACTGACTATATTAAAGTATATTTATCCATTTTGCTTTTGATGACATTTAGGTTCACAATAACAGTTATGAATATTCTAGCACATGTTTTATTTTTGTTTGGTTAATGCGTGTACATAATTTTATTGCTATTATGGCTAAAAGTTGAATTCACTGGGTTACAATTTAGGCATATTCCACATTAGTAAGCACTTCAAAAACATTTCCTGAAAGAGTTGTACAAATTTATACTTTAACCAACAGTGTGGGTTCCAGTTACTTTATATATCACTAACACTTGGTGTTTTTCACTTTACCCTTTGTGATATGGTGAGTTGTATTACATACAGTTTTCATTTACATTCCCCAATGACTAATGTAATTGAGTATTTAATACTTATTGGCCATATGGATTTTAAGTTTCTTTTCAATACTTTTGCCAGTTTTGTACATTTTTTTCTATGAGGTTTGTGCTTTTTTGTTGTTTTCTGCATATTCTTGATATAGTTTTTAAAATAAGTATTTGAATAGCAAATTATCAGATAGATTTTTAAGATCATCCAATTTCCTTTGTTATTCTTCAATGAAATTGCCACGTGTTTAGGTAAGGGTAAATACTCCAGTTAGTGTCCTATATATAGTGACATAAAACAACCATTTCATTATGTTTTCAGGAAATAGATAGGTCGTGAAATCAGAAAGGGCACAGCAGGGATAGCTTGTTTCTGCTCAGAAATGTCTAGCACCTCAGCAGGGAAGACTTGAACTTGGAGGACTTCAGGGAGCCTGTTCACATATTTGTCTGGCACATTGGCTGCGATGAATGTAAGGGTGAGCTCAGCTTCATCAGCTAAGCAGAGCACCTACCTATGGCTTCTCCATGTGGCTTAGGGTAGGCGTCTCAGCATGTGTCTGAGTTCCAAGAGGGAAATTTCTGAGGGGGAACTTCCAGGAGCAAGCATTTAAAGAGAGGAAGAAGCAATGGCCTTTTCTGACAAAGCTGCAGAAGTCAAGTAGCATCATCTCCTCTACATCCTGTTGGTTACAAACAAATGTTAAGGCGTCCCCAGATTCAAGGAGAAGAGAATTCGATTTCCTTTCTTAGTGGAAGAGTGGTATGGTCACATTATAGCAAAGAATTTGAATGCATATTGTTTCAGTCATCTGTACAAAATACAATCTTCAGTAAAAAAAAAAAATATGTTTTGTTTGGGATGTGCCTTGTTTTTATCAGTTCTGGGGTAATTCTCAGTTATTATATTTTTAAATATAGCCTATTCATTTTCCCTTTTTCTTCTTTTGAAGTCTAATAAGGGAAATTTGGGACCCTTTCAATTTATCATCCACTGTTGTTTTTTCACTTCTTATTTCTGCTTTTTGTAAAAAGAATGCTGCAAACTTGAGTTATTTCTTCATCTGCATCCAGTATCATTAATTCTCTCATTATCCATATTTACTTGACTGTTTAACTTCACACTGGATTCTTATCATTAATGATTATGTTTGTAAAGTCTAGAAATTGCACTTAATTCTGTATCAAATATACTTAAACTTGTTTGATAATATCTTGTTCTTAAATGATGGAGATAAATTAACCTTTAATTTCATTTAGACATTCATGTATGCTTATTTGTATTCTATATGTGAATAGTAAAAGCCCAAATTATTTGAGCAGATTAATTCCGCTGTGAATTGTTTCTACTGATTCTCACTCATGGTTGCTTCCCTGTGTGTTTGATAATTTAGGATTATGAGCCTTGTTGGCAAGATGTTATCTGTAGAAATCCTGTGAAGCCTGCTCTTCAGACAAAAGCTGCATTTTCGGATGAATTGAGATGCCAATATGTTACTGAAATTTAAAGTAATTGCTTAGTTTGGGCCTTCCCATAATATATTCTTACTTTAAACTCAAATTCTAAAGCTGCATAAAGTTAGGGCAAAGTTTTCAAGTTTTCATGACGGATATTTTTCCCACCCAGAAGAGTTCTAGCAATACCCCTTGGACATATTTTTCCTGGTACCCTTGTGGCTAACATCTTTGTTTTGTGTAGGTCTCAGTTTTAACCTCACATTTTTGTAGACTCAAGGTATTGTCTCCAGTTCTTGGAAAAGTAGTTAAACTGCAAGACTTTTGGTTCCGAGATCAGAAAATACTCCCAAGACATCTGTAGTTCAGTTGCACTTTATCACTCTGTCTTCCAGTATCCTCTCCATTTTGGGGCTCAGAGGATTTTTTTTTTTTTTTAACCAACTTATGAGTACAGCTGTGCTTTTTAAAAAAAGCTTTGTTATTTTCAATCCAGGGTTTTTGGCATTTTGAATCAGAACAATTTTCATGGTGTCAAATTTGCTTAATATCAGAAGTGGAAATTCTTCTGAGACATGTTTTTCCCGATGCTTTTAAAATATACACTTTATTTACTTTATGTATATGGGATCAAGGCTGCATGATTTTACAAAAACTATTCAAGCAACAGTATAAAAATATTTTCTTTGAAAATTGATTATATGATCTTTAATCATTAATTTAGGCATTTTTTGATAAAAATATTAAAAAATCAGGTTTTTAATTTCTCTGAGGACTATTTGAATATACTCCAATGAGTCATTATGCAGTTAGTTATAGGGTATTTATTTATTTATTTATTTGTTAGATGGAGTCTTGCTCTGTCGCCCAGGCTAGAGTGCAGTGGCACAATCTCGGCTCACTGCAAGCTCTGCCTCCTGGGTTCACACTATTCTCCTGCCTCAGCCTCCCAAGTAGCTGGGAGTACAGGTGCCCGCCACCACACCTGGCTAATTTTTTGTATTTTTAGTAGAGATGGGGTTTCACCGTATTATCCAGGATGGTCTTGATTTCCTGATCTTGCGATCTGCCCGCCTCAGCCTCCCAAAGTGCTGGGATTACAGGCGTGAGCCACTGCGCTTGGCCAGGGTATTTATTAAGAAAAGTGGAATTCGATTATAATAATCCTCAAGGCTCTTATGTAGCTGTTTGAAAATACTAGTGGAGGTGATACTGCTTTGTTACAATGTATTGGGGGAACCCGCCCCCAATATTTCAACAGTAGGTTCTTTTTATTTTCCCTAAGTGTGGGCCTGTCTGAGAAATAAAGAGAAAGAGTACAAAGAGAGGAATTTTGCAGCTGGGCTGCCGGAGGTGACATCACATATTAGTGGGTCCGTGATACCCACCTGAGCTGCAAAACCAGCAAGTTTTTATTAAGGATTTTGAAAGGGGAGGGGATGTACGAACAGGGAGTAGGTCACAAAGATCACGTGCTTCTGAGGCCAATAAAGATCACAAGGCAAAGGGCAAAATTAGAATTACCCATGAGGGTGTATGTTCAGCTGTGTACGTATTGTCTTCATAAATATCTTAAACAACAGAAAACAGGATTAGAGAGCAGAGAACTGGTCTGACCTCAAATTCACCAGGGTGGGGTTTTTCCCCACCCTAGTGAGCCTGAGGGTACTGCAGGAGACCAGGGCGTATTTCAGTCCTTATCTCAGCCACGTAAGACAGACACTCCCAGAGAGGCTGTTTATAGACCTCCCCACAGGAATGCAATTCTTCTCCCAGAATATTAATTATCAATATTCCTTGCTAGGAAAAGAATTTAGTGATATCTCTCCTACTTGCATGTCTGTTTGTAGGATCTCTGCAGAAGAAAAATGTGGTTCTTTTTGCCCGACCCCACAGGAAGTCAGACCTTATGGTTGTCTTCCCTTGTTCCCTAAAGTCGCTGTTATTCTGTTCGTTTTCAAGATGCACTGATTTCATATTGTTCAAACACACGTTTTACAATCAGTTTGTACAATAGTGGTCCTGAGGTGATGTACATTCTCAGCTTACTAAGATAACAGGATTAAGAGATTAAGGTAAAGACAGGCATAAGAAATTTTATAAGAGTATTACTTGTAAACTGATAAATGTCCATGAAATCTTCACAATTTATGTTCAGAGATTGCAGTAAAGACAGGCATAAGAAATTATAAAAGTATTAATTTTGGGAACTGATATGTGTCCATATTAAAATGAAATCTTCACAATTTATGTTCCTCTGCCACAGCTCCAGACAGTCCCTGCATTTGGGGTCCCTGACTTCCTGTAACAACAATGTATGCTGGGCTAACCACGATAGCTTTCAGCAAGGCTTATATGTTATTTCCAGTGATGATAGCTTGTATTGCAATACCCTAGCCTTGACCTTGTCATAAAAGATTTATAAATATTGCCTTGTGAGCAGTCTGAAGATTTGGGTTTCTGAGAACCAGATAGGGCATTTTTGATGGTGAAGACTGCTTCAGGAAATAATTCTCCCTCCCTCTTTAACAAACCCACTGACCTTTCAAACCTAGGTCAGTACTAATCCTTTTGGTCTGACATTTCTTAGCAGGGATTCACTAAAATTTCTTCTTTCTGGAAAATTTTAGCTGATGAAATTAGCAGAAATGCTAAACTTGAATTTTGTATGTGAATGCAGAAGCCATAGAGATATAAATACTTAAAATAAATTTAACATTTTGTTTCTCACATACGTGGGAATGTCCTATTAGGACAAACCTGTCTTTTCACATGTGCTGCTGGAATGCAGAATTAGGAAAAATAAGTAAAACTTATGGAGTCTACTTTTCAACAGAAGGATAATATTTGCATTAATTAAGACTGTTTGGGCCAGGTGTGGTGGCTCACATCTGTAATCCCAGCACTTTGGGAGGCTGAGGCGGGTGGATTGCCTGAGGTCAGGAGTTCCACACCAGCCTGGCTAACATGGTGAAACCCCGTCTCTACTAAAAATATGAAAATTAGCCAGGCCTTGTGGCAGGCACCTGTAATCCCAGCTATTCAGGAGATGAGGCAGGAGAATCACTTGAACCTGGGAGGTGGAGGTTGCAGTGAGCCAAGATCGTGCCACTGCACTCCCGCCCGGGCGACAGAGCAAGACTCTGTCTCAAAAAAAAAAAAAAAGACTGCTCAAGTACGAAGTGAACATTCATGTTAAGAAAATAAAATCCCTGGCATTCCATATTCTGAACACATTTTATAATGGCGGTTCTTTCAGACTTGCAGATGGGATCTTTGCATTTAGCCAGGGATAGACTTAAAAGACAGTTCCATTCTAAGAGTCAGGGCATAACATAATATGTGGTGAATCAGTTCTATTTTGTTGTGTAACAAACACCATAATACTTACTAACTTATAACAATACTCATCTATTATTTCACACAGAAGCCCCTGATTTGCCCTCCCCATCAATCACTCCCATACTTAAGAAAGGTTAACACTGTCCTGACTTTTAAGTTTAGCATATTTCTGAACATTATTTAAGTGGAATCATATAGTATGTACTATTGTGTGTCTCTAACTATCTAAATTTGTTTTGCCCATATTTTTCCATGTTTTACATGAAACTAGTTCATTCATTTTAATTCTTCATAGTAATTACGGTGGGAATATACTGCAATTTATCAATCCTAGTGCAGATGGATATTTGGGTTATTTCTCATTTTGCATGATTGGCATTGTTCTGCCTCGAACATTCTTAGACACATATATGTATGGTTTTTAAGTGTGTTCTGCCTCAGTAGGTACTATCCATTTTCCAAAATGCTTAGGCCCAGTCACACTCTTACCAGCAATATATGAGTTCCCTTTGCCCCACATCTTCCACAGGATTTGCAGGCTTTTGTTTTTGTGGTGTTGTTTTCATTTGTTTTTTCTATTCGTGTGTGTGTGTGTTTATATGTAAACATGTGTGGTTTTAAGTTGCATTGTTCTCATGTACACTGAACACTTTTCTAATATTTATTGGTTATTTAGGTATTATGTTTTGTGAAATACTTGTTTAAATCTTTTGTCCATTATCTTATTTGATTGTGTATTTTATTTTTGATTTATGGGATTTTGATAAATATATTGTGATACAATTTTTAAAAATGTTATTTCAAATACCTTCTTCTATTATATAATTTACCTTTTTGTTATCTGAATGGTTTTTTTTTTTTTTTTTTTGAGATGGAGTCTTGCTCTGTCACCAGACTGGAGTGCAGTGGCACGATCTCAGCTCACTGCAACCTCTACCTCCCTGATTGAAGCGATTCTCCTGCCTCAGCCTCCTGAGTAGCTGGGACTACAGGCACGTGCCACCACATCTGGCTAATTTTTTTGTATTTTCAGTAGAGATGGGGTGTTACCATATTGGCCAGGATGGTCTGCATCTCTTGACCTTGTGATCTTCCCACCTCGGCCTCCCAAAAAGCTGGGATTACAGGCGTGAGCCACCACACCCAGCCATGAATGGTGCCTTTTTTGTACAGGAATTTTTAGTAGTTCAATTTTTATGTATTTTATCTTATGGTTAGTTCTTTATGTATCAGGATTAAGGAGCATTTTTAAAATTCAGGTAATAAATATATTCTCCTATGTTTTTTCTTCAAAGCTTTCTTTTTTTCACTTTAAATTTTAGGTCTATAATCTACCTGTATAGATTTCATTGTATGCTTTCCTTCAGAGATGAAAACTAATTTTTTTCCATAGTGATACTGGCCAATTTTTAAAAAGACTATTCTTTTTCTACTTCTCAATAATGCTAGTTTTCTCATAAAATCAAGTTTCCATATTCATCTGTTCTTGAACACTGTTTTCAGTTATATTGGTCTACATAGCTTTATATATAATAATTATTAATTGTTTTAATTAATATATTTTATAATAAAGTGATAGTCAATAGTTTAAAATCTCAATTTTAATTCTGATTTCTAAAATTATTTTGGCCAACATTGAGCAAAATGTGTATGTACTTCCACATTAATTATAACATGATCTGGTTGATCTCTATAATAAAACCTACTAATAACTTGATTGGAAGCTCATTAAATCTACAAATAACTGGGAAGACTAATGTCCTAACAGTATGAGTTATTCAATTCATGAACATGGAATATACCTTGTTTATTAAGATTGATTTAAATTTCTTTCAATATTTTATGTGTTACACATTGTGTTTGCATAGAGTTCATTCTTGTTTCATTTATTACAGAGTATTTAATTTTTTTGATGCTATTGTAAATGGTAGAATTTTTACACTTAATTTTTACTTATAACAAAACATAGTGATAAAATTCAGATTTTTTTTGTATCAAGTGAATGAGCTATACACACCACATTATTGTAATAGTCTATTTTAGAATTGTTTAGAGTTTCTATGTACATAAAATTGTCTTATATAAATCATGGATATTTTATTTCATCCCTTCTAATTCTTGCTTATTTTATTTTTTGTTCTTATCTTACTTCATTAGTTGGTATTTTCAGTAAAATGCTGGATAGAATGGTTGCTTGTTTCATCTTGAAAGGAAAAAATATTTCTGTTTTCATCATGGATTATAATGTGATTATGATTGTCTATTTTTCATTATATTTTGATCAGTTTTTATAAATATAGTTTGAAGCTATGTTGTTGTGTTCTATGCGGGGAGAGTATCCAAAGACATCACAATCAATCTCTTCCTTCCCTCTACACATCAGATTTTTCTCATATCAAGAGGAGGACTCTAGTCCATCTCTCCTTTACTCTGATCTTGGTTTAGTGACTTGCTTGACTAGTAGAATGCCATGGAAGTGATGCTCTGGGATTTCCAAGACTAATCTTAAGAAGCTTTTCAGCATGTACCTCAAAATCATGGAACATTCACCCAGCCACTATCCTGTAAGAAGACCAAGACCTTAGTAAGGCCATATGCAAATCCTCCAGTGTACAAACTTAACTACACTTCAAGGAAGTAGGCAGAATAATTGCCAGTCTTGCAAATAAGCCACTTGGGACATTCAGTTCCGTTGAGCTTTCAGATGTCTTCATCACTAGCTGCCATCTGATTGCAGATCATATATAGGAGACCCTAAGTGCAAACTAGCTGAGCTCAGTCAACCTTCAGAATCATGAAAAATAATAAATAATAATAATAATAATAATTATTATTATTATTATTTTGAGACAGAATCTCGCTCTGTCGCCCAGGCTGGAGTGCAGTGGCGTGATCTCGGCTCACTGCAAGATCTGCCTCCCGGGTTCACGCCATTCTCCTGCCTCAGCCTCCCAAGTAGCTGGGACTACAGGTGCCCGCCACCACGCCTGGCTAATTTTTTGTATTTTTAGTAGACACGCGGTTCCACCGTGTTAGCCAGGATGGTCTCGATCTCCTGACCTTGTGATTCACCTGCCTTGGCCTACCAAAGTGCTGGGATTACAGGCATGAGCCACCGTGTCCGGCCAATACATTATTATTTAAAGCCACTAACTGTTGAGGTGGTTTTGTTACATGGGAAAGAATAACAATGAAGTGACTGCTTACTTATTTGGAATTTTTTATGTCTTCATGGTAGAGTGACATTTCTATGATTATTAAATGAACCTTATTGTAACTAATAATTTTGCTATGCAATAATATTTTATACGAATATAATATATAATAACATATTATAATATATACTTAATATATACTAGTAAATATGCACCAAGATGTTTTAGTTTGTTTGGTTAGGGTTGAAATAATATATATTTTTGAAAATTTTACTTTCAAATATTTTTTGCATATATTTAGTTATGTCTGCTACATGTATATAGTTGGATTATATTATTTTATCCAGTCTGCCACACTTTATCATTTAAATATTCTATTTACATTGTTTTCATTAAATTTAATTATTGATATATATGTGTGTGTGTGTGTGCGTGTATGTATTTAAATGCACTATATTCTTGTTTTTCTATTTTTCTTCTATTTCATATAAATTTTTCTCTATTACTTTTTTTGGATTAATCCAGTATTTTTTTATTAACTTATTTTTCTTCTCAGAAGCTCATTATTATGCATTACTTCACTATTTTCCAGGGGGATAATCTGTAATTTTTAAAACATGCATCTTCTTAAAATTTAATATATATACTAAAAGATCCTTTGTTTGTCTGAAAATCTATTTATTTTGCTTTTTTGTGTCTTTAATAATTTATTTCTTAAAATATAAGCCAACACAAATTTGACAAGACATTACAATTATTTTAAACTCACTTTTCATTGTTTCTATAACTCTTTGTGCATTGGATTTATTCTCAGTAAACTGGAGAAAAAGAAAATTAACATTTATTGAGTTCTTATTCCGTGCCAATCATGATGCTAAAAACCTTTGTTTACAATTTTATATATTCTTCCCAAATACACTAGAAAGTAGCCATCATTTAGGGCCATTATATTTACAAATAAATTGGATTTCTCAAATATTAAATTTCTAAAAGATTAAAATATCCAGAAAATTTGGATTCCAAAAGTGCAGAAGCATTTTGCTGAACCATGAATTTTTTAAATGTGTCTCTGAAGCGAAGCATGATGAACCCAAAGCTCTTATTTTAGTTTACTTTGTTTCCATAGGTCCCTTCAGCATTAATACAGCAAGAAAATATCTGATGTTTTCAATTGCTGTGGTTCCTTAATATAAGATTACCATGGAATTATAAAGAATGTTTGCTAATAAAAATTCTATCACACATTTGACAAATGATATGAATGCTATGACCCAAAGAATGGGAAAAATTTTTGAAGCATCTTCTGAAGTTATTTGCCACTTTCTTTTGCTTTTTTTTTTTTTAACCTTTTATTTTAGGTTCAGGGGTATATGTGCAGGTTTGCTATATAGTTAAATTGTGTGTTATGGGGGTTTGGTATACAGATTATTTTGTCACCCAGGAAATAAGCATAGTACCAAATAGGTAGTTTTTTGATCCTCTCCCTCCTCCTACCTTCTACCCTCAACGCTGGTCCTGGTGACTTTTGTTGCCTTCTTTGTTTCTATGTATACTCAATGTTTAGCTCTCACTTATGAATGAGAACATGCAGTATTTGGTTTTCTGTTCTTGTATTAGTTCTCTTAGGATTATGGTCTCCAGCTCCATGCATGTTGTTGCAAATGATATGCTCTCATTCTTGTTATGACTGCATAGCATTCCATGGTATAAATGTACTGTATTTTCTTTATCCAGTCTACTGTTGATGGGCATTTAGGTTAATTTCATGAATTTGCTGTTGTGAATAGTGTTGTGATGAACATATGTGTGTATGTGTCTTTATGGTAAGATAATTTATATTCCTTTGGGTATATAGCTAATAATGGTATTGCTGGTTGTAATGATAATTCTGATTTAAGTTCTTTGAGAAATCACCACACTGCTTTCCAAGATGGCTGAACTAATTTACCTCCCCACGAGCAGTGTATAAGCATTCCCTTTTCTCTGCAACCTCGCCAGCATATGCTGTTTTTTGACTTTTGAATAATAATCATCCTGACTGGTGTGAGACGATATCTCATTAGGGTATTGATTTGCATTTCTCTAGTTATTAGTGACATTGAGCATTTTTTTTTCATATGCTTGTTGGCCACATATATGTCTTCTTTTGAAAAGTGTGTCTTCATGTCCTTTGCTCATTTTTTAGCGAGGTTGTTTGTTCTTGCTGTTTGTTTCAGTTCTTTATAGAGTTGCATATTAGACCTTTGTCAAATGTATAGTTTGCAAATATTTTCTCCCATTCTGTAGGTTGTCCATGTACTCTGTTGATAGTTTATCTTGCTGTGCAGAAACGCTTTAGTGTAACAAGGTCCCATTTGCCAATTTTTGTTTTTGTTGCAATTGCTTTTGGTGTCTTCATCATGAAATTTTGCCAGGGCCTATGTCCAGAATGGTATTTCCTAGGTACGCTTCCATAGTTTCTATAATTTTAGGTCTTACATTTTAGTCTTTAATCCATTTTGAGCTCATTTTTGTATATGGTATAAAGAAGGGATTTAGCTTCAATCTTCTGTATATGGCTATCCAGCTATCCCAGCACCATTCATGAATAGGGGAGTCCTTTCTCTATTGATATTTTTTGTTGACTTTGTCAAAGATCGTATGGTTCTATGCACTTCCACATAGAAGTGGAATCTAATTAGCAGAATTTTTATAATACTATTTTATAAATAGTATTTTTATAATACTATTTATAAAACAGTATTATTGAAATTTATATGAATACATTTATGTAAATATAAATGTAACTATAACTTTATAGAAATATAACTATGTGGGACTATAACTCTAAAGAATTATCACAACTTTACTTCAATAATTCAAAGAACATAAATTCTCCAGAAATTAAATAGAAACTTTGAAAGAATCTTTCAGGTTTTTTATTTGTGACCAAATTGAAGCACCCCTATAATCTAATGTATTGCTTTCTAATTGCCAGTCTAATACTTGCTTTAAGAAGACATGGTTGTGAATCTCTTTTGGAGGTACAATAAAACATGTTACAAGGGAAAGAAAATCTAGTACAAACCCCAAATTATATTTGGCACACACCACAGCCAAATCCACAAATAGAGCTTTTTGGAAGATCAAAGGTAACAATTGGTGTATATTTTATTTCCTGGGTCATATACAAAGATTTTGCAGTTAATTTGAGGTTGTGTATACTGATTTCAAAAGGGGAGAATCAGAGCTTAGTTATTTTCTTTTTCAGAGTTTGGCTTTCTTATGTATTGTTTCATAGGGGAGGGGGAATCTCTTTTTTAAATGATGTTATAATTTATGCTCATTTCCACTGTAGACTTAAAAATAATATTTTTCGTGACTAAGGTCAGACAAACTGAGCTCTGTGATTTATTTTAGTATAATAGTTTATCTGGTGAATATTCTAATGTTTTTAAAGGGTAATTTACCTGTCAATCCAGTACCACGCTGGCATACAAATTAGTGCCTATAAAGAAAATATTGAAGTGTAGGAACAGCAGGAGAATTGAAGAAAAGTAGGCAGTTTCCAGAAATGGTACCAATGCATTTTCTCATTAAGTGGAAACATTTATTCAGTCAAAAGATGCTATTACACATAAATATTCCTGTGTTCTTAAAATATTTAATAAAATATTTATAGCCCATGGATGTTGATTTAAAATATATGATACACACTGATACCCGGGTGATTAAATTTAAAACAATAATCTTTTATTTCACAAGCCTAACAGAATTTTACAACTCTTAATAATTTATCTGCCCTGTTAATTTGGCCGAGTTATTCGCTCCAAAATATAAGCACCAATGTAGTTGTATCCATTCAATACTTTATTTTTTTCAGATCTTTAACAAAGTGCTACTCTTTCATACACTGATACTCTAAGTCAATCCCAACTTTATTGTGAAACCAGGTAAGTATTGCTCAGCTTTCCCAAAGGTAGGAAATCAGGTTAATTAGAAGACAATCAGGTTCAGGTTCTGTCTAGTAATGAAAAGTACTGTGTTTTCATTCAAAAATAATTATGCATAACTTTAAAAACATCTGGTCAAGTTTAAGTAAGATTAGATTAACCGAAGGAAATATTTTAATTTGAGTAAGTTTGCTTATTTTTCTTCCTATTGTCAAGAATTCAAATACAGCAATAATATTTTAAATTCAAAGAAAGACATTTGTAGGAAGGAAGAATTAATTCATGATGTTTAATGCCATCAACAGATGGTGGAGGTCTTAGCTATACATATCACACATACTAAGTAATTAAAAAGTAAATAAAAGACTAACATCTAAATTTCAAACAGCAAAAATATCAAAGCAGTGTCTATTTTTATCTAGCCAGACCATATTGCACTTATGGTATATACAATTATTCCTTTGTATTTTAATATACAGTACTAATCATTGAAGATAACTCTTCTTCACGGTATAGTCAGCATAAACTTTCCCAGTAGCTGTCATTTGACATGTTAGTTTGGGCAACTCCATCTGTGTTTTCATAGGTAAGCACATAAAGAACGCATTACAACCTAATGCCTCTAAAGGGGCCTCCTTTCCCCTGTTGTGTAGTCACTAGCAGTTTGGAAGGTCCAGCAGACGCTCATCCTGTGTGCCTACTAAGCATTTGAGGAATTTACTTGCAGTTGAAACAATTATACAGTACCATGGAGGGATGTGACAGTAGAGATAATCAGTCCCTTAAGGCTATAATGCATGGTTACAAGTCAGGGTGCCAGACAAGAACACTAGGGCTAACACACAGGGCATCTGCCATTGCAAACACATAAAAGGATGTAGAAATGTATCAACATGATCTAGTAAATGGACGGAACAGCTGTTTCATTAAGTTTAAAACTAATTGCTTTAGCCCTTGTCACACTAATGGCAATACTGTTCCTGTTACTGCTGATTCAGAAACAATGCTGCTCTGTCCATTGTGGCAGTATTCAATCTAAAATGAAACACTATCAGTATGCTTTTATAAGATGGGTATGCGAAGTGTAGCCAGTTAGAAAACACATGGGACTCTTTCCCTCCATTTTACAACATAGTTGAAGCACTAATAAGCTTGAAAGTCAATGAAATACGTGCAACATATATGAGTCAAGAAGGTAGCAAATACTTCAAAGGAAATGACGCTCAACATACAGCATTCTTTTAGAAAAATATGACTTTTTAATTTTTTGTTTGCTAAGGGGTACAGCTTTCTGTCTATGGTTCATTTTATTCACTCATAACAGGCAATTAACAAATGTATTGACTTAGGAAACTAGTAAATAAATTTCTGATTTAATAACAGTTAACTTTCTATCAAAATGATTTTAATTCTTCCACATTTTCATTCATTTACTTATTAATTGAATCGAGCATGTATACATTCAACATACACTTATTATGTATTACCTGCTAGGCAATATGTTAACAACTATGTTACAGCTACCATTGTTTCTGTCCTCATAGGGTTTTGTAAATAATTGAAAACTATTGTTAAGTACTTTTCGCAAAACATGTGTCAGAGACTGAAGCAAAGATTTCTTTTGCAGGTGTGTATAGATATACAGAAAACCATTTTTTTTTTTGCTATGAAAATAAGAGTTAATAAACCATTGGCTACCAGAAGTATTTAACACAAAAGATGAATTTTTGTCTATTGATGCTGCCAGGAATACTGCCACCTGAGATGGGAATTGGGTGGGAAGATAACATTTAAGATAGGATCATCAAATTCCTCCCTTACCCATTCCCATGGAGATAGTTTTATAAATTTATTCAGGGAGGTATAGTTGAATTCATATTATTGGTATACTTTTCACATTAATAACATTTTGAGAGTTGACACTAGTATGTAATAATCATTTCTGTAATTTTAAGTTTCCTAAGTTCTAAATAATTGATTCACATAAGGGCTTTTGAACATATTCTCCTCTATACGTTAAATATTATGTGCTTTTTAAATTGATGTTGGATAACTAATTTTTAAAAAATTAAGTTATATAGAAGGAAATACAACTCTTCTCTTCATAGAAGTCACTACCCATCCTATATCTTATCAAAGATATTTTTACTATATTTTCATAATAAAACAGGCAATAACTTTTATAGAAAGCTAATAAAATGATCAAAAAACTATAATATGTTAAATTGAAAATGCCATGGTTCTGTAATAGAAGGGATATCAATATCCATATACATGTATTATATATTGTTTATATCTACTGCATATTCAATAGTCATAAGATGATATTTTCTAAAATAAGACTTTTAAAAATTATATATTTATTCTGACTGAATAAGGCATGATTAGGAATAGTAGTATATGTCTTTCATTGTCTGTGACTTGGTTACAGTATAATTAGAGGATTTTTGGCAGAGATTTATTTCATAAAACATTGTTTTTAATCATTAATTTAAAAATATTTTTTGAGTATATTTGTTGTGAAATGTGTAGTACTAAATACCTTGAGGACAGTATGAAAGGGGTTTAATCAGAGGAAATCATAATTTTAATGTAATGAAGAGAAAAGATAAAAGTGATAAGTTTTTGTCTTATCAAATTCTAGCTATCAAATTGTCATCTCAGTTCTCTTGATTTTAAGTCTTAAAACGAGATTTAGTTTTGAAGGATTCTCAATTAGCAATAATTATTTAGAAAGAAGATTTCAATACCATGCTTCTCAAATTAAGAGTGTGAGAATTTTATACAATTTAATGGCCAAAAAGTTCTATCTTGATAAACTGACTCATGATAGCTTATCTCTCTGAGACTTCTCCCTTGCACCTCAAGCATATGGAAATCCTGGTCCCAAATTCCAACGAATAATAACTTGTACTTGTCCACCATTCAACACAGTTGAGAAGAGTTTATCTTAAAACTATGCTAGTTCTGGCCCACCCTTTCTGAGACTGGGAAAGAAATGTTATGAACACTGGATCTGCATTATCATCTCCAGTTTGTCTCTTCTAAGTCCTTGGTTCCAGTGCCTGAAACTTCTCACTTAGGCAATTACGTCTGCTTGTCCTTTGGTTATTTCACTCATAATTAGTTAATATAATTTGTTAATGAGACATGAATGGGTTTTATTTTTGTCCAAACCTTTGTCCAACTTCTGTATATTGCTTATTTTCAGGTGGGTCTTGCTTGCTTTAAGAGTGCATTGTGGTGGATAAATTCTGGTAACAGCTTATAAAACTGCATGAAAGGTTTAGATAATGCATTACTAGAGTTCAAAAGAGGGAGAATTTCCTTCTAGCTGATAGCTTCATGGAGGAGTTGAAATTTGGGTTGCACCCTGAGATAGGGATTGAATCTGTGTAATTGGAGCTCTGTTTCTCCTTGTATATAGATAATATGTGTGTATACATATGTCTCACATATATATAGTGACATGTCTCATTATATATTATGTATTATATATACATACTTACATGTTATGTATACACAAATATGTATACATTGATAAAATATCATCTTATGACTATTGAATATGCAATAGATATAAGCATGTATACATTTTTATAAATATGTATATACATATTATATAACATATATACATTATGTACATATAATGTAGAAACATAACCCCAATTATATCCAATTATCTCCAATTCTCTCTCCATATGTGTGTATGTGTGTGTGTGTATATATATGTGTATATATATATGTGTATATATATGTGTGTATATATATGTGTGTATATATATATATAGAGAGAGAGTAGACATATATCTCTATATGTATCACATCTCAAGTCACACAAGATTGAATAGTGTTTTAAATGGTAGCGCTGTGGAGCAGTGATGAAAATGTTCATGATAATAAATGGATACAAATTACTTAGGTTTGCTCCACACACTTGAACATATACATGGAGCATCAAGTTTTATTTTCCAAGCAACAAATGAGTAGATATTCATCAGTCTTATATGCGGGAAATATGCTTCTTTTGAGGCTCCTTTTCCCCTGTTTGCCCAAACCCACTGGGCTCAAGTATACGAAGCAGTGAAAGCTAATCCACTCACTTGGTCTTAAAATTCATTATACACAAGGTTTATTTGGAATTCTTGTTAAAAATTCCCTGGATGTTCCCCCAGAAATCTGGTTCAAGTGGCAATTCTGATACAGATGGTTCATAGGTCAACACTCCTGCATATGCTGGACTCTTTGGTCTCTTATCATCTGTGTTGAAGCTCAGGCACACTACCCACAAAGAGTTTTTCACCCTGCATTAATACCTTTTCCTTTCCAAATTCAGGCATGGCCATTGCAGGGTGTGAAGGCTTTCTCCGAGTGGAAAGCATTCTTAACATACCTACATGCTCATCATACATTTTCAGTATGGCCGCAACTATTCCTCAAAGCATCACATTGCTGGGGTGTAAGGGGCATCCAACTCACACCCTTTTTATAGAATTGGGCCCTGAGATACCTCTCTGAGCTGCTGCTGCCTGACATCTAGAAACTTCTCACCTCATGGTGAATCACTTTTAGGGGGAAATTTCTCACGAATGTTGTTTGTTCGCCATCTTACCCAGTGACCTACTCTGTATTTTAAAGTAGTGAAAAGGAATTGGGCAAATAACTGAAAAGAACAATTAAATATTGATACTACTGTGAACACCCTTAACCACAAACATAAGTGGGCCTTACAACCTTACTTCAGGACAATTTGTGTTTACTGTGCTGTATTAGCCTAATTAACATGATCATTCAAGTGATTATAGGACCAAGAAGATCAGCTCTTGATTTTTTTTGCAACTGGTACCACATATTATTTGTGAGTGTGTGTCTGTGGGTAAATATTAGTGATTATTTTCTCATTAGACTTGTTTTATTCAAGAAAGAAGCCAACAATAGTACATAAATAAATAAGGGACCCATGTTACCTTATTCTCATCACAACATTTATTTTTCACAGACAGAATTTTGTGATAAGTATTTGTGATGATTTGGGGAAACTATAAGCATTGAAATATAATTCCTAGACTTAAGTTTTTATTATGTTTCTGATTATTAGTGGCCTTTTTATAGCTAGGAATTATGATAGAACAGGGAGATAGAGCCTGGTCCTACCAATTCTTGACAGCATATATCAAGAGAAAGCTGGGATCCATATGGGAGAACAGATGATTTTCTTAAAACCGCCATGTAGAGCTGCGCCCGAAAATAAATTTTATATTACGTAGGTGTAGTTTTACAACCATAATGCTTAGCTCATGAGGAATAAAAAGAAAACAGTTTATTCTGGAAATAATGTGGCTACTGTATTGTAGTTTAGCTTTGTAGCATGTAGTTTAGATAAAAATTTTTATGTGAAATTTCCAAAATATTTTGGGAGTATTGTAGTCCTCAATGGAAAATTTAGGAGGTTATGAAGATGATTTTATATAAATTTGTGGTTCACTTTTGGTGAACCATATCAATATGGTTCCTTATATCACTTGTTTTTTAGTAAGTCAATGAGGGACTGTTTCTAGAAAAGCTTTTAAGGTAACTTAATGACAGTTTCATGATTTTCAATGAATAAAACACCAAGTTTGGCTTTCACATGGTACATATAATGTGTTCATTTGTGAGTATATCCCATGGCTATCTTTGACTGAAAGGTAAGTTATTTAAGAGTTCAGAGCTGCCTTCCAAGAAAAAGACCATCTAAAGCCCTAGTGCATTGCTTCTATTTTCTAAAGCAAACACTTTTATTAATGTGTAAAACAGTTTCTTAGGATTTATATAAAACTTATTAAAAATATATGGCTTTGGAGCAGTGAATCAGAGTCTTCTCTTTTGTCCTTGAAGAGTTTTTCCACCTTAATATAGTAGTTGTGATCTTAAAAAAATGTGGTTAAAAAAAGTCTTTTTCTCACTGCAAGTCATATGTTTCATTATTTCAACTTTTCATGCCTTTATCACTTTGTCGAATTGAAATCTTTGTGGACCATGAGATTTTTCACATTTCTGAAGAATTATTATGACTCAAAAAAAAAAAAAAGCAAGAGAAATTCAAATCTCAAAACTTATTTTGGAAGTTTACAAAATGAAAAAGTGAATAAATTTTAAGGAGCAAATGTTTTCATTTTTCTTGAAAGTTAAATACTAAACCAAATAACTTTTATGAAATATTTTACCATTTTCATTTATTATAAACATACTTTTAAATAATTCATTTCCAGATGGGGAAAACACATTGTCATAAATATTACTTATTCAAAATAAAATAATTGCTAAGAAAAATATTTGCATGAGTCTATTATATGATCCAGTAGCCACAGAACTCTGAAGTACTTCTGAGAGATACGTCAACATGGGATAGGGTTGCTAATAGAGTTTATTCAGTTTCTCACTGAAATATGTAGAATAAAAATTAATAAAAATATAATCTTGTAATTTATAACAAGGAAACTAATAATAAATCTGTTTCTAACATAGGAGGGGAATGGCCATATAATACAAAGCCTATTGTGCTACAGTGAGAACATTGTTTAGTGGTTTAGGCTTATCATGCTGTGTTTGAAACAGAACAAAACCTTCTAACCTTAGGAAAATTGAAAGATTCTTAGAAACTTACTCATTGTCTCAGACATCAGGGTTTTGGTCAATTAAAATTTCTAGCTATCATCTCTTATCGAAGATATTACCTCTTGAAATTGACAGATGATTCTTTGGCGATTTGAAGTAATTATCTTTATAGTCTGATGGAAGGAGCATTTGTTGGTCTTCATAAATAAAGCTCTAAAGGTGGAAAAGAAAAAAATGTTTTGGTAAATGACATGTTGGATATTGTAAATTTTACTTTATTCATTTTATAAATAATAATAGAAATTGTGGGAGCAGGAGCAAATCTTAAACCATCCAAGATAGGTAAAATTCCTCTATAACTTCTAGGGCACAGGAAGTAGTCTAGAAGGTGTGAATGAACTTGTCCTCCACCCCCAACATGAAAAGACATTTAGTTTTGTTTAGTTTCTTTAGTTTTTTAGCTCCTATGTAGAAATGAGACAGCCCAAGGAAAAATCCATGCCTATTGTCTGTTAGCAAACATTTGATCAGAAAATTTCTTTCCTGGTCAAACAAAGACAACCATCATGGGTATGAGGAAACAGTTTCTTGCAGCATCATAAGGGAAGGTAAAGTTATATGAAATAATGTTAAGAAAGATACAAGGGAAAAGAAGATGAAAATAAATGGGACCCAAATTAGACAAATGACAATACACTGAAATAAAAAGTGAATCATGGGAGGAAGAAGAAAGGATTGCACATGCATTAAAATTGATACCCACTGCCTGACAAAGGCAAAAATAAATAAATGAAATTTATATTCATGACAGAGTTAAAAAGGAATAAAAGTAATTGAAGGTAATCAAAAGAGAAATTCTTCTACAATGTAGGTAGGAAAAAAAACACAAAAGATGTGGAAATGATGACTGTGAACTTGCACATATAGAAGTCATATAACAGCTGTAACAAATTAAATCTAGGGAAAGTGGAAAGCATACCTGAAGGGAACAAATATCATGTGTCCATTCTTGTTCTAATAACTTTATGCATACTAATTGAATTCTCACAAAACGCTACAAGGTACTTACTGATGTCATTATACTTACTTTACAAATAAGGCACAAAAATAACCCAAAGAGGGTAAGCAATGCAAAAACTAATGCATAGTAGGGACAGGATTGTAACTCAGTTTCAAGTACAGCCCTCCTTCAAGAACATTCTATTGGAAAGATGTATATTTTTGTATTTAAAATTTTTGTGTATGAACAAAGGATAGGATGGCCATAGTAAAGACCTGCAAGTGTACTATAAAATTAGTGCAATACAAAAAATAAAAACAAAAAGTTTTTCCCTTGAGTTTTTTGGAAATTTTCAGTTTTCAGGTATTATATTTACCGAGATGCATATGCATACACTTACACATGTATGTATATGTATATGTATATGTATATGTGTGTGGGTATGTGCATATATTTGCATATAAATGAGCATAGATATATGTGTGTGTGCACATGTGTGTTGGGAGGGAGAAAGAGAAACATGATATTTATAGGAGAAAGAAAAAGATATTTCTTCACGTATTACCTTACATCTATGGCAAGCCCCCTTTTTAGTCACAGAGTGGAGATTGAATAATAATAAGGAAAATTTCCCTTACACCATTGTAAGAAGATGGTTATCATCCCTCCTAAAAAAATAAGACAAATAAATCACCTAGAATATTTATAACAAACTGAATCACCCATTAAATCAGTGAATCACAGTCCTTATAAAATAGAATTATCTTTTTATTTTTAGGGGTTTGTATCATTACACGGAGATTGCTGCTTTTATCATTCCATTTAATAACGTTATAAATATTTGGGAACAAAATATATTTACATGTAAATAAATGGCAGGTTAACAGGGTTGTTTATCTGCAAATTATTGTTGAGGGACCATATTCAGTAGTAACAATAACCGAGATGAGTGGCTTATGCTTTGATGTCTCAGAAAATTTGGGTTCAGATCTTGACTTTTGACATCCTTTGTATGACGCTGGTCATGAATTTTAATACATTTAGGCATCAGATTCCTCCTCAGTAAAAAAAGTGTGATATTCACTCATCAACGTAATAATTGTGAATATTATATAAATGCATTTTACATTTCCTAATGATACTCTTTAATAATATATCAAGCATAAATGTAACAAATGCATTCTGTGTACCAGATACTGTTTGAAGTGATAATACTTAAAATAATATTATAAAATACTTTCTATTATTATCATTGCTCTACAGATGAGAAGACTTAAAAAGAGAGAGATTAAGTGACTTGTTCAAGATCACTTATTTAGACTCAAATCTGAATTTATGCTTCCTAACGTAACTTTCCCTAATAGGTTTTTTTTTTTTTTGAGAGGAACAGAAAGTCAGATGTTGCACAACTTTAAGGGGCAAATGGGATCCTTCCATTTCCTGTTCAGCCTTAACGAAGAAAAATGGGAAAAATGAGTGTTAACAGTGTGAACAAGGCAGGAGATTAGTGAACAAAGAACAGCAACCTATATTCAAGTTCATTGAAATCATTCATTTGACTGAGAAAATCCTAAATTGAGTTGACTAAATTTGATATGAATTGACTGTAACTGCATATTTGAATTTGGAGCTTAAGGTGAATCATTACCTCCTACTATTTTTCATTATCAAATTATCAGAAATTTTTATAGCTTTTGTTAAGGGATTCAGTAGGGGAGGGAAAACAAATATAAAGAAAAATCATTTATTTAACCCTAAACTCTCTTAATACTGTTTTGGATTAATATTTTATAATAACATTAAGAATTGAAGATGGTTACACCAATTTTTTTTTCTAGAAATAAACATCACATTAATGATAAATCTGGCATTTCTTTCACATTTTCTGGTGAGTGGGTTCATTTCCATAATGTTTCAAAGAGCCAAATAACTTATAAATTATATATATGTATATATAATTATATTCCCTCTACATTTCTGACTCTGTAAATATTTCCGATTTTTCCTTCATAGTAACAACTTCCTTTTTTTAAAAAAAAATAGGTAGCAATAGATTAATGGCTATTTAAATAGAAAATCAACAGATTAATAATCTGACCAGTCATACTACCAATAAAGTCAACTAATTAGACATTTTCTGAAAGATACTTTTTGTTGGCTAGAGATGTGACTTCTTAAACATAAACTTTTTGGGGGTGGAGACCTTGTCTGTCTTTTACTATAATATCGCTAATGCCTAAGAAAATGCCTCTCTCATCCTATGTGACAAGTAAAAATTTGTTTGATTGATTTAAACCCTATTAGGCCAGCTTGCACATTTAGGCATTGTGCCTAATTGTGCATTGAAATCCTCTATATAGTTGGGTGAGAAAAGCGTTGTTATATTTGATGAGATTCTTGAACTATTTGGAATCTTCAGGACCACTAAACAAAGTTATCATCAATATCCCTTGATATAGTAAACCACTAATCTTGCAGAAAAGAAATTGATTTTGGCTTATGTTTGGGATTCCAATATACAGGCATATATTTGATGGGAGGAGGAGTAGGAGAGATAAATAATTTATTAGGAGAAATTTGCCACAGGTGAAGACATCTGACAGAGTGGGTCAGATTGTGCAGTGCAGCATGAATCTCAGAGGGTGATAATAGGGATAAGATGAAGCAGTATCTATGTGTCTCTGACTCAACTCACCCAATAGATTTTTTTTTCCCCTCTCACCTTCATCCTCCATTAATTAACACTTCTAGGAAATGTCTATATGGTCTGGGTAAAAAGGAACTGAGTCACTAAGGACCTAAAGCATGCTGTGGAGACTCCCTCTAAAACAGAGAAGAGATGATTACCATCCAGATAACCAGAGTAGTGAGGGAAAAAAACAACATATCTAAAAGCTCGAAGAAGTTGTGCTAATAGTGCAGGAAGCAGCTTGTGGACAGATGGAAGTCAAGTTAGCAGTCCACCGAAAGTTGTTTATAGGATGAATACGCTCACACACAGTAACAAAGAAAAAGCCATTAAATATGCGAGCAGATACAAACCACGGAGACAATAGAGATGTGAGCAGCAATCATGATTATATGAGGGAAACCCCTTGACCATATCTACTTAACCCCTTACCTCACTTTCCTATGGTCCCCTAGAGCTCCTCCTACCACCATTCTTCCATGACCATATTCTAGCTTGTAGGAGTGGAGAAAAGCTCTCCCGACCTTGTTCTAAAAAATGTGGAATACATTTGAGAATTTTTCAAAGGCTGGTAGTTTTACTAACCCACAGCTTATAAGCATCACACTTTAGATAATCAAGAAGACATTTGACTGTCTGTATATTGGCATATCTATTTTCTGTCTGTTTCAGAAATTATTTAGTGCTTCAGGAGTGAAAATGTCAATATAAATTGGCAGGGGGCGGGGGTGATTTGGAATCATGGCAATTGTTGATAAAACTATAAGTAGTTTTGTTTATCCAGCAGGATGATTGAAAATGTGGGTTCTCAGAGATTATATCATATTTTCAAGATGATCTTTTATGACCTTTTACCTTCTAAGTCTCTTTGTACATGTGAGTAATGGGAAACCTATGGTTGGTTCTATTCCTGTTATAATAGAGAATATTGAACTACAAACTTTTATAGCTAAAAGTTATTGTGTTATGAGGCATTGTGGAGCATATGTTAGTTTAGGAAATAGTACTTACTTCTGCTATAGTGATTGAAATACTTGGCCTTAGCTTGATATTACACCTGATGTGTAAGTCTATCCCAGGGGAGTTGACACAAACCTCTCCTAAAATTAACAGAGATAAATGTAATTTTTCCAGGTGCATACACTGTAAATAACTGCACATAATAAATATATCTTCCTTCCTATTTCCTACTTGTTTTCTTTTAGTCTTGGATTAGAAATGCTAAATTTTAATGTTATTTACATATTTCTTACTTTGAATGATAGAAGAAGATCAATTGAGAATAATTTTGTTTTGATTCTAATTTACTATTGTAAGACGAAATTTTCAAGCAATTATCCTGAGTATTTTTGTATTAAACTCCATGAGTGTACAGTTTACATGAAAAAAACAACTTTTTCACTTCTCTTTGGGATAAAGAATCAACTTTTTGAAGTAAGCACATTGAGTTTTTGTAGCATGTTGACGTATATATGTATTAAAAAGTGATTGTTCTACTTGGAGCTGGAAAAACCAATTTATTAGAGTAGTACTCTAATAAAGTAGAAGAATATTTACAAATAAAGATCATCAAGTTCACTTGAATTAGCTAGAACTTTTACTTACATTGTTGTATGTTTTGGTAAATATATAACTAGACTGTGTTCTTTTCCTTTTACTATTTCCATAAAAAAAAAAAAAACCTAAATGTCTATAAAGAGCCAAGGTTTATTCACAGCATAAATGTTCTGGAGGAAAGTAACCTAATTTCAAAACTTGAAAGCTTAGAGTCACTTTTTCCTAGTGAGCAATATTCTCAAGTATGAAATCTAGAGTACTGGATTAAATATTTGTGACTAATATCAAAATGATTGATTAGGGGTTTCATATAAACGTTTGATAGCTATTAAATGTAATTGGTAGCCTTAAAAGTGGCCAAGTGACTTTAATAAAAGTGCTAAATATTGTAAGGTAGATTCCTATATTTGATAGGAATAACAGAGAATTTTCCTTTAAGTCTCTTTATTTAAAATGTAATGAAGGCTGGGCATTGTGGCTCATGCCTGTAATCCCAGCACTTTGGGAGGCTAAGGTGGGTGGAACACCTGAGGTCAGGAGTTTGAGACCAGCCTGACCAACATGTTGAAACCCCGTCTCTACTAAAAATACACACACACACACACACACACACACACACACACTAGCCGGGTGTGGTGGTGCATGCCTGTAATCCCAGCTACTTGGGAGGCTGAGGCAGGAGAGTCACTTGAACACAGGAGGCAGACGTGGCAGTGAGCCGAAATCGTGCCATTGCACTCCAGCCTGGGCAACAAAAGTGAAACTTCATCTCAAAAAAAACCAAAGAACAAAAAACAAAACACAAAAAACAAAAACAAATGTAATGAAAAGTAACTTATATTATCCAAGTCTAAAGTTAGCAAAAATCTAATCAAAACCAAGATTGATCATTGTATTAAAATATAATTTTTAATAATATTTTTGAGCATGTGTGATATTGGTCTATATATATTATTTCATTTCGTTGTTATAACAACTGAAAAAACTGAGTTTCATAAACACCTAGAATTTGCCAAATTATGCTGGGTAAAAAGTTTGGATATGAATCTAAGATTTTCTGATTCCAAAAACTAAGCAATTGTTTTTGTTTTGTTTTTACTTTGATTAAAAATGAGGGAAGCTTATGTAAAATTTGGAAATAAAACTAAAACCCTTTTTAAAAAGGATGCAGAAATGTAGAATTGGGGAGAGTTAAGAGTAGACATTTGGTCAATTTGCCCTCAAAAGACATGAGTCCAAGATCATGTAATATGTGAGCTCCAATCAATACCAGAATCTCCTTGAAACTCACATTTTTTCCCTGAAAAAAAAAAAGAGGATCATTTCTATCACGTACGCAAGATTTCTCTCACAGATCAGAATAATTTTTGTGTTATGTACGTGTAAGAAAACATAGCTATTATGATATGGAAACTAGGAGTGAAATATGAGGCATTTGTGCCTTTTCTGAAATGGTAAAAAAAAAAAAAAAATCCCATTCAGTCTCTTCTCTCCTTCTTTTACTTCTGCCCCCATTCAAAAATAAATTTTTATATACAGGGTGAAGTTAAACATAATGTCTGCAGTAGAGGAAGAAAATGAGACACTGAAATAAAATGCAATTAATATCCAAGAAAAGCAAAAGCAAAAAAAAAGAACATGATAACTGTGATTTTTACCACCTTCTATTTCATTTTATATTAACAAAACGTTATTTAAATGTCAAATATAGTATCACGCAGAAGTAGAACACATACACTAATGCTGATCAATAATGATTTAAGGGCAGAAAGAGTCAATATAGTATAATGCGCCAATTATCTAGTAAAATAGAGCAATATATGAATACTTTGAGTATTCATTGAGTAATTCATTTACTCAAATTGAGTAAAGTGTATATTACAGATGCATTGTGTGGAAAAATGGCGTTTAATAACACCTTGGAAAGCAATGGGAAGGCTGACTATTACTTTGTAATTAAATAATAAGATAGTTAACATAAGGGTCCGGCTCCGTGGCTCATGCCTGTAATCAGGGCAATTTGTGAGGCTGAGGTGGGTGGATCGATCATCTGAGGTCAGGAGTTCGAAACCAGCTTGGCTAACATGGCAAAACCCCGTCTCTACTAAAAATACAAAAAGTAGCCGGGCATGGTGGCGTGCGCCTATAATCCCAGCTACTTGAGAGGCTGAGGCATGAGAATTGCTTGAACCCGGGAGGAGGAGGTTGCAGTTAGCAGAGATCATGCCACTGCACTCCAGCCTGGGTGACAGAGTGAGACTCCATCTCAAAAAGAAGTTAAAATAATAATAATAATGTAAATGAATTAATGGGTACAGCACACCTACATGGCACATGTATACATATGTAACAAACCTGCACGTTGTGCACATGTACTCTAAAACTTAAAGTATAATAATAAAAAAATATAATAATAAAATAGTTAACGTAAGGGATGTAGTCTGCAAGCAATTTATTATTGTAACTGGCAACAGATACCTGACATTTAAAAATTATTTTCTTTATAAATTCTTTCTAATCATGCAAAGAGGGAAATGAAGAGAGACATAACTTCATTTTGAGGAAAATGAGGTGACTGAAATGTACTTGACTTACTAAAGGTCACCAGTGCTGCGAGGGATCCCAGGCAAGAATGCTGATCTTGATGAATAGTGCAGGTCATAACTGTTCTCAGTTGAGAGAGAAGGTAAGAAAAATGTTGCCATTATGTCTTTTAGGTGAGGGCTATCTTATTTTGGCACAGGAACTTAACATGATGGTTAAGCACAGGCGTTGGAGTAAGCAGAAATTTGAGTTCTTATGTTTGTTACATGTTTGGTGATCTCAGCTATGATTTCGTGTTGGTTTTTCTTCACTCACATCTAAGAGAGTAGTACACATATTTAAATTGTGTATGCAAAATGCTTGGCAAAATACCAGTATATGTTAATTCTAAATAAACAACAAGTTATTTTTATTAATGATTTTATTTATATTTTTCAAAAATTCTATGATGATTCTGACCTTTAAACCAAGATATTTGATGACAAGTACCATACCTGTTTCATCCATATCCTTTAATAGCTGCTTAAAATATCTGGTGAATAAATAAATAAATGTATGGGTAGATAGAATTTATTTTAGAACATATCATAAGGGAGAAAGCTGGGTAACATTATATGTAAAATTTAAGCCAAATTTCCTGCCCAGAGCTGTTATCTCTAGTTTAGAACTCTAGAAATGTATCGTCTCTTTACTGGGATCTTTCTCTGTAACAAGAATTTATAAGGCTGAAATTCTACAGATAAGAGGATACCTTCCACAGGATGAAATTGACTCAATCATCTTTGGCCCTTTGTTGTACATAGCATAGGGTCTATATTAGCCTTGCTTTTAAAATTCAGTAATCTCCTGTAATCTATTACTTCAAAGATGTGTCATTGTTTGCATATTCAGCAGCACTCTTTCCAAGAAATAAAAAATGATTCATTTTGTGTTATATGAACAATATATTTGGAAGAAGAGAAATCAATACATGTAAATTCATTACATCCAGATGCTCCTCCTTCCAAACTAACCATTAAATGAAAGAGATTAATAAAATAAAATTGAAATAGCATATAATCTTTATGTGTATTTCAGCAGTGAAATTTGACGTAATTCACCAACTTTCTCATGGCGTTTTCTTTCTGCATTTTATAGCTTAGTCTGATGTTCATTTGGATAAATTTAGAAAGCTAACACCTCATTTTATGCAGCTGAAGTGTAAGATTAAGTAGAGTAGAAACCTTGCTAATTATCACTTCTCTGATCTACACACCTGATACTTCTTGCAAAGAGTTTTTAGCAAATATTAAAAAGAGGTCATGTATCAAAGCATTATTTTTATATCTCCACATTTAAGTAGAAATTTGAGAATACATATGTGCATTTAATGTTTTAACAAATACCTTTAGTGTATGTATAACATAATGTCACTGATTAAATATAACTTCAAGTAATAAATTGCTAGGAAATATTTTATATCATCTCTCTCTATTCTTTTTAGTCCTCTCCACCACAATACATTTCCTTATGTATTTCTGAAACTTTCCTTAGGGCTTTCTAGATGGCCATTAGCTAGGAAGATGTCCAGCTATAACCCCAAAGCAACTTGGCACAGAGAGTGCTTCCACGCAGCTCTGCTTTTGATTTTATCTTTGAAAATAGAATGTTTAAATAGAAAAAGATGAAGTAATAGATATTCATCTGACAATGGGAAAGTGATATAGATTTTTTTCCAGCTCTATTAAAGTATAATTGGAAAATAAAAGTCATATATATATACATACATATATATATAGAAGATGTACAATGTGGTGTTTTGATATACATATACAATGTTAAATAATTAGAACAATAGGGTAATTAACATACCCATCACCACACATAGTTAACTTTTTGTGTATACATGTGTGGTGACAATATATAAGATTTATTCTCTTAGCAAATTTCAAATACAATCTTCCCTCTGTATTGAACACTGGGATTGGTTCCAGGACCCTTGACAGATACCAAAATGCACAGATGTTCGATACCCTTATATAAAATGGTGTAGTATTTGCATATTACATACACACAGCCGCTTGTATACTTTAAACATCTCTAGAATACTTATAATACCTAATGAAATGTAAATGCTATGTAAATATTATAATTATTACATTGTATTTTTTATTTGTATTAATTTTTGTTGCATTGTTATTTTTATTCTTCTTTCAAATGTTTTGGATCCGCAGTTGGTTGAATCTGTAAATGTGGAACCTATGGATATGGAGGGGCAACTGTATACTTCACATTATTATTAACCCTAGCCATCAGATCTCCAGAATTTATTCAATTTATAACTGCAAGTTTGTATCTTTTGACCAACACTTCCTCATTTCCCTCTTACCCACCCTACCACATCCCACAGCCCCTGGTAAGTTATCCTTCTACTCTTTGCATCTATGAGTTAAACTATTTTAGGTTCCACATATGAGATCATGCAGTATTTGTCTTTCTGTGTCTCGTTTATTTCACTTAGTATAAATTGTCCCGATTCTTCTTTGTTGTTACAAATAACAGCATCTGCTTCTTTTTAAGGTTGAATAGCATTCCTTGATAGATCATATATATATGTGTGTGTGTGTATATATATACCATTATATAATATATACCATTATATATATTATATATGGCATATAATGATATATAATATATACCATTATGTAATATTCCATTATATATGTGACCCGTATTTCATCTCATATATATGCAATATTATATAATGGTATATATTATATGCCATTATATGTGACCTGTATTCCATCATATATATGATATGATTCATATGGATCATATATGATATGGATCATATATGATATTCATATGGAATCATATATATGATGGTATACAGGTCACAAATATAATGGAATATTATTCATCCACATATTCATATATATTTCTTTATTCATTCATCCATCAATGAACACTTAGTTTATTTTCATATCTTGGCTATTGTGTGTAATGTCATTATAACATGAGAGTGCAAATGTCTCTTCAAGATAGTGATTTTATTTTCTTCTAATATATACCCAGAAGTGAGGTTCCTTGCTCACATGGTATTACCGTTCTATTATTTATTTTTTAGAAAGTTCCATACTACTTTTCATAATGGCCGTATTAATATATATTCCCATAAACAATCTATAAAGATCACCTTTTCCCCATATCCTTTCCAACACGTGTTATCTTTTGGATTTTTTTATAATAGCTAGCTGTGGTGGTTAATATTGAGTTTCAACTTGATTGGATTGAAGAATGCAAAGTATTGTTCCTGGGTGTGTCTGTGAGAGTGTTGCCAAACGAGATTAACATTTGAGTCTGTGGACCAGGAGAGGCAGACCCACTTTCAATCTGGGTGGGCACCATCTTATCAGCTGCCAGTGCAGCTAGAATAAAGCAGGCTGAAGAAATCGGAAAGGGCAGACTAGCTGAGTCTTCTGACCTCTGTTTGTCTCCCTTGATGAATGCTTCCTGCCCTCGAACATCAGACTCCAAGTTCTTCATCTCTTGGACTCTTGGACTTACACCAGTGATCTGACAGGGGCTCTGGGGCTTTCAGCCACAGACTGAAGGCTGCACTATTTGTTTCCACACTTTTGAGCTTTTGGGACTTGGACTGGCTTCCTCACTCCTCAGCTTGCAGATGACATATCTTGGGACTTCACCTTGTGTTCTTGTGAGTCAATTCTCCCAATAAACTCCTCTTCATGTATACATATATCCTATTAGTCCTATCCCTTTAGAGAACGCTGACAAATATAGTATTCTAACACAAATAAGGGATATCTCTTTTTGATTTGATTTGCATTTACCTGATGATTAGTGATGTTTAGCATTTTATTATTATTATTTTTTGAGACGGAGTCTCACTCCATTGCATAGGCTGGAGTATAGCAGTGCGATCTTGGCTCACTGCAACCCCCACCTTCTGGGTTCAAGCAATTTTTATGCCTCAGCCTCCCAAGTAGCTGGGATTACAGGTGCATGCCACCATGCCTGGCTAATTTTTGCATTTTTAGTAGAGACGGGGTTTCTCCATGTTGGCCAGGCTGGTCTCGAACTCTTGACCTCAGGTGATCCACCTGCCTCAGCTTCACAAAGTGCTGGGATTACAGGCGTGAGCCACTGTGCCCGGCCCTAGTACCTTTTTTATATACCTGTTGGACATTTGTAAGGATTTTAAAAATATATCTATTAAAGTCCTTTGCCCATTTTTAAATCAGTTTTTCTCACTGAGTTGAATGAGTTACTTATATATTTTGGATAATAACCCCTTAACAGATATGTGTGGTTTACAGATATTTTCTCTCATATTGCAAGTTGATATTGTAATATGTTGTAAGAAAATGAAAATGTAACTTACAATATTGTAAGAATTTATAGTTGGGTTTTTTTGCTGAAGTCTTGAATCCACTTCGTGTTGATTTTTATGTATGGTGTAAAATAAATATCCAATTTTATTCTTTTACTTGTTAATATCCAATTTTCCCAAAACCATATAATAAAGTGACTATTTTTTTCAGTGTGTATTCTTTAAGACTTGAATATTAGCTGGCCACATATGGGTGAGTTTATTTCTGTGCTTTCTATTTTGTTCCATTTGTCTTTATGTCTGTTTTTACGCCAGTCCCATACAGTTTTGATGACTGTAGCTTTGTAATATGATATTAAATTAGGAAGTGTGATGCCTCCAGTTTTGTTCTTTTTGCTCAAGATGCTTTAACTCTTCTGGATCTTTTCTGGTTCACATAAATTTGACAAGTGTATTTTCTATTTCCATAAAAAATACCATTGAAATCTTGATAAGGATTGCATTGAATCTATAGACTGCTTCATGTAGTATGCACATTTTCAAAATATTAATTATTCTTATCCATGAACGTAGAACATCTTTTCATTTATGTGTGTCTTATTTAGTTTCTTTCATCAATGTTTTATAGTTTTCAGTGCACCGATTTTTCACCTCCTAGGTTAAATTTATTTATAAGTATTCCATTTTTGATACTATTGCAAATGGATTTTTTTCTTAATTTCTTTTTGGAATAGTTCATTGTGAATGAATAGCAATGTTACTTATTTTTGAATCTTCATTTTTTAATTATTATTATTATACTTTAAGTTTTAGGGTACATTTGCACAACATGCAGGTTTGTTACATATGTATACATGTGCCATGTTGGTGTGTTGCTCCCATTAACTCGTCATTTAGCATTAGGTTTATCTCCTAATACTATCCGTCCCCCCTCCCCCCACCCCACAACAGTCCCCAGTGTGTAATGTTCCCCTTCCTGTGTCCATGTGTTCTCATTGTTCAATTCCCACCTATGAGTACGAACATGCGGTGTTTGGTTTTTTGTCCTTGTGATAGTTTGCTGAGAATGATGGTTTCGAGCTTCATCCATGTCCCTACAAAGGACATGAACTCATCATTTTTTATGGCTGCATAGTATTCCATGGTGTATATGTGCCACATTTTCTTAATCCAGTCTATCATTGTTGGACATTTGGGTTGGTTCCAAGTCTTTGCTATTGTGAATAGTGCCACAATAAGCATACATGTGCATGTGTCTTTATAGCAGCATGATTTATAATCCTTTGGGTATATATGCAGTAATGAGATGGCTGGGTCAAATGGTATTTCTAGTTCTAGATCCCTGAGGAATCGCCACACCAACTTCCACAATGGTTGAACTAGTTTATAGTCCCACCAACAGTATAAAAGTGTTCCTATTTCTCCACATCCTCTCCAGCACCTGTTGTTTCCTTTTTAATGATCACCATTCTAACTGGTGTGAGATGGTATCTCGTTGTGGTTTTGATTTGCATTTCTCTGATGGCCAGTGATGATGTGAATCTTCATTTTTTATACTGCAATGTTACTGATTCATTTATTAGTTCTAACAAGTTTTTTATAGAGTTTTTTTTATGGTAAGATCTTGTTATTTACAGACAAAGACAATTTTACCTTTTCTTTTCCAATTTGGATGCTATGTTTTTATTTATTTATTTGACTAGTTGCTCTGGTGAAGACTTTCAGTACTATGCAAAATAGAAGTGCCAAGGTTGGGCATCCTTGCCTAGTTCCTGATCTTATAGAAATGCTTTCAATTTCTTGTACTACGTGGGATTAGCTGTGGGCTTTTCACATATAATCTTTATCATGGTGAAGTTAATTCTTTTCATACTCATTTTGTTAAGAGTTTCAATAAATATTGAATTTTGTCAAAGGCTTTTCCTGCATCTGTTGAGATGATCATGCAACTTTTATCTTCCATTCTCCTACTATGATGTATTAAATTAGTTGATTTGCATATGTGGAACTATCCTTGTGTTCCAGGGATAAATCCTTCCTTATCGTGGTGTATGATCTTTCATATGCTGTTTAATTAAATAAAATTAATATTTTAGTATTTTAATAAAGTATCTAGTATTTTATTGAGAATTTTTGCATCTATTTTCATCAGGGGTATTGGCTTATAGTTTTATTTTCTTGTAGTGTCTTTGTGTAATTTTGGTATCAGGGTGATAATGGCCTAATAGAATAAGTCTGGAAGTTTTCCCTCTTCTTTTTTTATTTAAAAAAGTTTAATCAGTATTTATATTAAATCTTGAATGTTAGGTGGAATTTAGCTGTGAAGCTATATGCCCCTGGGCCTTTCTTTGCTAGGAGACTTCAATTAGTATTCAATCTTCTTATCGTATCAATCATTTAATGTTCTATTTCTTCTTGATGTAGTTTTGTGTTACAAGGAAATTATCACCTTCTCTTGAATTATCCAGCTTGTTGGCATATAATTGTTCATAGTAGTCTTTTATGATCCTCTTTTATACAGAGAGATCATTGTAATGTCTTTTCTTTAATTTCTGACTTTAAGTCTTCTTCCTCTTTTTAAAATCTAGCTAAAGGTTTGTCAATTTTGTTTATCTTTTCAGAAACCAATTCATTTTTTAAAAAATCTATATTTGTTGTGATCTATCCTGGAGAATGTTATGCATACACTTAGAAAGAATGTATAATCTTCCATTGTTTGGTGGAAAGTCTGTGTATGTGTGTTGGGTCCATTTGGCTTATAGCATTGTTCAAGTCAGTTGCTATTCTCTTCCTTTTGAGTCTGGATATTATATACATTATTGTAAGTGGGGTATTGAAGTCCCCTACTATCATTGTATTTCTTTCTTCAGGTCTGTCAATATCTGCTTTACAAGTGTTCTGATGTTGGCCACTTATATAATTACTGTATCTTCTTGTTGAAATAACCCTTTTATTATTACATAATGACCTTCTTTGTTTCTAGAGACAGCTTTAAACTTGAAATATGGTTGTTTGATACAAAATATGGCCCCTTCTGCTTTTTTTTCGTTACCATTTGCTTGAAATCTCTTTTCCTATCTCATTATTCTCGGCCTATGTGTGTCTTTGAATCTAAAGTGAGTCTATTCTAGACAGCATGTGGTTTTTAAAAAAATCCATACAGTCTTTTGATTGGTGACTTTAATTCATTTCCATACAATTATTGATAAATGGAGGACTTTCCTTTTTATCATTTTGTTAATTGTTTTCTATTTTGAAGTCATTTTATTACCTTAATCTGTATATGCCTTTGTGTTTACCTTCACCAGTGATATTTATGTTTTCAAATCCTTATATGATGCTGCTTAGCATGGTTTTGTTTCAATTTCAAGAACTCCAGCAAGTATTTGTGGTAAGGCAGATTTAGTGGTGAAACTCAGTTTTTGTTGTCTTGGGAAGACTATCTCTTCTTCATTTCAAAAATAATAATTTTGCCAAATGTAGTATTTATAGATGGCAATATTTTTCTTTCAGTACTTTTTGTTGGACTTCTAATTTTGTTGATGTATTGTTTTGCTGATTTCATTGAGTTTTCTGAGTTGTTGTGTAGCTCACTGGCTTTTAAAAAACAATTCTTTTGAATTCTTTTTTCATGATTTATAAATCTCTACTTCTTTGGAGTTGGTGACTGGAAAATTCTTGTGTTCTTTTGGTGGTGTCATCTTCCCTGATTTTTTTGTGTTTCTTTAAGGCTTTTGCTTGCCTTAATGTCTGTGCATTTTAAGAATCAATCACCCCTCCAGACTTTACTGACTTGTTTTGGTAGGGAAAGACCTCCATTTGTGAATGAGTGCAAGGATGGTAGTTAAGAAAGTGCGGTGATTCCAGCATCTGAGCATAGTGTCTGTGCAGCTCTGTCAGCTGAAGTCAGCATCAGTGAAAACTGCATGAATTCTTGGCCACCAAGGCTGCAGCTTTCTGCAGCAGCAGTGAGAACTGTTGGGGTCTTCAGCTGGAAAATTGCTGGGGTCTATCTGATCTCTTTTTCCCTATAGCATCATCAAATCATGGTCAAGATCTCTCTTGGTGTCAGGTTCACATGGCAGGACATTTACAATGGCAGTGGCATCAGTAGATCATGTGTGGGAGTCAATGAAGTAGTCATGGAACTGATATCTGAAACAGAGTGTGAGTATGCCCTCAGCACTGGTGGCACTGTTATCTAGATTGCAGGTGTTCCCACTGCAGCAGTGGCACAACTGTGTCAGGTATGGGTGCCTGTAAAGTGTTCACAGAGCTGTGGTCTGAAGCATGGGCAAGCACAGGGCACCTATGACTTTGGGTCTGTGGGAAATACGCTTATAAAAGGATTGAAGAGGGAGTGTCCCAGCCCCTTGGTGGTGCAGTATAGCTCCATTACGAGGAGAGCACAGCAGTGTCTCCTTCTCTGGGGGTCCATGGTGGCTAAAATGGTTGTTGGTTTTCTCAGTGGCAAAAGCTGCTAGGTTCCTCTGTGGAATGGCAGTGAACATTATAAAGTTCTTAGCAGTGAAAAGATGTGGGGTTCCACAGCAGCAATTGGGGTCCTTAGCGGGGAAGACTACTGGGGTCCTCTGCAGAGGCACTGCAAACCATGTTGTCACATCCTACATGACTGATACCAATAGACTCCACCCTTCTTCTTTCTCTTTAACACCTCCAAGTATCTCGTTTGTGACAATCTCCCTAGTATTTTGGATGGCGTGAAACCAAAGTAAATCCTTCAGGTAGTGCCCAAAAATACTGTGGAAGCTGGTCACTCATCTTGTTCTTCTTTTTCCCCACAAAGCCCCTACTTGAGGCTGAGGAGATACTTCTAGGCTCTGTGTAAATTGGCCTGTGAACGGGATTATGCAGGCAAAATAAAAATGTTGTTCCTGCCCTTTCCGTGTGGTCATGCTTCTTCTCTTCTCCACTGTGTAACTAGACTCCTGAGTTTTCTCAGAGCTATTTTTGTTTATGGATGGCTATCTAATCATAGTGTTTTTTCTTTTGTCCTTTTGTATTTGTGTGGTGGGGGAGGGCAGGGAGTGAAACTAAGAACAGGATCTCCTGCTCTGCCGTATTTCTGACATCACTATAATTTGTCTGTTTTCATAACTTTTTTCCAGGCATTGGCTTTATCTTAGGTGTTTGGTTATTTTTCTTTGATGTGCTAAAGAGTGGCTCCCTGTTTTATGTTTTGCTTCCAGGTCAATGCGCATATTACACATTCCCCAATTTCTAGTGGTAAATACTAATTTTCTTCTAAATGTTGTACAAAATAAATTAATATTGTCACAGTCTTCTAAGTAAAAAAAAAAAAATCGTAAGGACCATAAAGCTAATAATTAAAAGCCCTTCATTTTATTATCTTTTTCAAATCACTTCTCTTACAGAAGTAATCATAGTTAACATTTTCATATTTATACTCCCAGATTTTTTTTGCTGCTTTATGAGCATGTGTGTGTATAGATGTTTACATTATTGATGTGCTGAAGAATTTATATGGAATACTTCTTAGTTTTTTTGCTGTTATTCATGTTTTAAATATTTTTTCAAACCTTAAATTTTTATTTCACTTTTAACTTATTTTTTATTTAACTTGATCTGTCTTTTGATAAAGATTTGAATTGTTAATTTAATCAAATATATTAATTTGTTTCCATTTGTGAATTTTGATATAGCGTTTTTTTGTTGTTGTTGTTTCAGGCAGAGTCTTGCTCTGTCACCCAGGCTGGAGTGCAGTGGCATCATCTCAGCTCACTATAAGCTCTGTCTCCTGGGTTCACGCCATTCTCTTGCCTCAGCCTCTCGAGTAGCGGGGTCTACAGGCACCCGTCACCACACCCGGCTAACTTTTTGTTTTTAGTAGAGACAGGGTTTCACCATGTTAGCCAGGATGGTCTTGATCTCCTGACCTTGTGATCCACCCACCTTGGCCTCCCAAAGTGCTGGGATTACAGGTGTGAGCCACCGTGCCCGGCCTGATATAGTGTTTTAATTAGAAAAAAATCTTTTTCACACAAAGATTATAAAATTTCTCATATAATTACTCTTAAATTCTGTATAATTTTTGTTTTATTTATATAAAATAAAAATGTTGGTATTTACTTTTGTGCACTTTGTGAGTTTAAATTTGTTTCTCCAAATTAAATAGGACAGTCATTTATTGAACAGAAGAGTTTATTTTCCACTGATCTAAAATATCCCCTGAAGTTAAATATCTAAAAAATTGTTCAGTTTTGCTATGATTTATATGACTATTCCAAATCAAATATTTTTGTTGTAATTCTTATTACTATATAGAATAATTCCCTGTTTCACATTGAGCAGAACAAGTTATCTTTCTCTTCAAGTTTATATTTAATTTGGAAGGATGCTGTTGAAAGTATTCATTTTTTATGATATTTAAACTCATTTTAACCATCTCTATTAAAAATTCTTTTGGGTTTGCTTTGAGTGTATGAATAAATTTATTCTAGAAGTAAATATTTAAAATATTTATAATTCATGTTCTGGAATTTAGTGTGCATCTCCATGTTATCCGTTCTTGCTATGTATTCTTTATAAAGTTTCACATTCTTAGATGTGATTTCACAAGTTACATGTTGGAATTAATTCTAAATATTTTATAGCAGTCATTGCTTTCGTGAATGTATTCTTTTATACTCCATCACACTCTTGGTTGTGTTGCTGTTGACATATAAAAAAGATAAAGCATTTTTATATATTCACATCTAACATATTCTTAGTGAATTTTGTTCTTAGATTTAAGAGTTTCTTAGTTGTTAATTTTATTAATGTTTCCACAAAAAGAGATGTGAATGTCATTCTTCAAATCAGTGGGTTATTTGGTCATGTTTTTTCATTAATTTGGTTTATATATTCATTAATAATTCAATTTTTTTGTTTTTTTAACGTATTTTTTAAATGTACTTGAGTTGAATGTTTATTTCCAGTCTTCCTTATTTTTAAATTAATATTCTTAAGGTTATATGTTTTTCTCTGATAAATGTGTTAATAATTATATATTTCTAAGGTTTTTTTCATACAAACATTATGATAATTACTTTCAGTGAACTACTTTATATAATGTTAAGTAAATTACCCATGTTTATACACTGAGTAAGAATATATGTAAAGTTCAAACACAAGGAATAAACACCATGTTGCTTCCTACACGCTGAAAAATATCTCCTGTAGCAATCAGTTTTGATTTCCATTTAATTTAATAATTTATTTTGGAAGAGCATTATAAATAATTTCCTAGTTTATGGATTTATTTTCATCATTTCTTTTGATAGGCTGAAAATATTAATATTTGTAATGTAGCATAACTGGAATGATTTCTACCTCTTAAAATACACAATTTTTTTTGTCTAATCATGTGAATATTCTGTAGGTGATTAAACATTTTATGTATATAAATATAATTCATATGTATACAAAGTTATGCTTGTTTTTATTATATATAGAAAAACAAAATAATCCTAATGAGCTAATTCATACCTTGTATGTCCTTATTTTCTGTTTACTTGATTGTTCCATACAAAAGACTATTAATTTCTTAAATACAATTATACATTTTTAATATCTAACATTTTTAAATTTAAAATTTAAAAAATAAAATATCTTTTATTTCTAAAAATGTTAAAATACTTTAATACTTTATTTTAAAATGCATAGCCGATTATTATACCATCTTGGTTGAAATAATTGTAGGCTATATCTTTTATTAATATAAAATCCCCTTTTGATTTCTGTAGAGCTTTTCCTTGAATGCTATTTTGCCACAGCAAAATGACCAAAACCTGATTTCTATTTGTAAATATATTCATGGTAAACATATTGCTTTCCATTTAATATTTTAAATATTTTATGTTGTTTTGCCTTAGCTATGTATTTAGTTGTAGAATATAGTTAAGTCCTTTTAAAAAATATGAAAGTTGTTCATTTTAATAAGAATCTTATTTTTCTGTAGATTCCAGAAATCTCTAGGTAAACAAGTGCAGCTCTATTTTCTAACATCGACCATAAAATACCTCAAGATTTGCAATTCAGGATAAAACATCTTGAGCAATTTTACCTATTATATTGACTAGCAGTATGTTTCATAAATAAATAAATAATACAGCCATAGTAACCATTAATTTCTTATTTCTTTGGAGTAGTATATGCTATGTTCAGGGTCAGAATGAGAGCTATGTATCAGTATTTTTCTCCTTTGGCTTATTTTTAGCATATATAATGTCAGGTTGACTTCTCAAAATTATATATTTCTACTTGCCCATTTTATGTGTACTTTTGTAACACATGTATCTATATAAACATGGATAAACAATATTACAACAGTGGAATATCTATAGTATTTTCTACTTTTATACAATAGACTTTGTTCAGCCTTAGACTATTTTCAAATCTTGAGGATATGCAGATCGGCTTAGAAGAGTTCTTTTCTGTTAATGATAGTTAATGCATTTAAAGTATTTAAATTGTATTAATCTGTTGCTTGGCTTGTTTCATCTTCTGTATAACTGATGCTCAGAAAATGCCACGTACTCTTTACCAAATAGAAGTCTGACTTTATGCTGGACTTCAAAAATTCTGCAGATATAGTCATAAGAATGTTTTAAACAATAGACATGTACCAAGTTATCACATCCTCTCCATAATCCATTGTTTTGATAATAGTGATGATAGGAGCAGTTTAAACATATTGTGACATTTTATTCAAGGTTACAAAAAATAAACATCCAAAAGACTTAGAAAGTGACAATCAGGCTTGATATCATTTATCAGACAAAATGAAGACATTTAAAATGGTGAAGATTTGACATAAATGTTATATTTGGTACACTTAAAATATATTCAATATCATCCGTGGATTTTATTAAATTTTAAGTGGTGAGTCAAGATAGCTGATAAAAATAATAGGGCACTGACAATCTGTTATCACTAAAGTGCTACTCTTTTTAAAACTAAGGATGTTGGGTGATGATACCATATTGGGGGGATATTTAAAAAGTGATCCTCTTGAGTTGCTATATTGTGGTTAAAAAAAGAATCAAAAGCTAGGGAGACAGAGTGTTTTAAGAGCTCAATGAATCAGACTCCATAAATTTGGTTCAATTATAAATGTCTAAAAAATGACAGCAGCTGAGTGTGCCATACAGTTATAAGCAATGAAAGCATTTTGTTTTTTGTTTTGTTTTGTTTTGTTGTTCTAAGCAATGCTTAATGGAGAATTTGTGTCTAGGAAGCAATTTAATAAGCACTTCCAAAATCTGATAAAACAGCAATGGTTGAAAAATAGTGGAAGAAAGGATCCATATTTTAAGAATTTCTTCTACATGGGGATCATAATCAAAGTAGCAAAACATCTTTTATAAAAATATGTGGGCACCATATGTGCACACACACATATACAAATTGTACACATAAAATCTTATGTATATATTTTAATATAAAATACTACAGGTTAATAAAAAATGTGCTTAGACTTGGCTTATTTTTTTAATTGGAATGAAATCTGGTTGTAACACAATTTTGATGTCAAACTGCTTTCTCTTCCTGTTTACATTTTGCAAGAACAAGAAGCCTCAGCTGGAAAATTGGCCCATAATCACAACCTATTAAGCTTTTACTGATATTGCAATAGAAGTAATGGGTTTTTAATGAGCTTATCCATTTTAACATTTATATAATTTATTAACTTTTTCCTTTCTCTATTTTGTATATTAACTAAAAACTTAGGTTTAATAATTTTCTTTACTGAACTCTTAAGCCCTCGAAATTCAATAAAATAATGCTATTTTAAGTTACTGTTGGTAATTTTATCAAGCATAAGCAATCACTTGTGTGTTATTGTAGAGCTTCATGTACTATGAAGGGTCACTCACATTGGAAACTGGTGTCCAACTTGTGGCATGGAACTTGCTTTATAGATACTCATAGAGAGAATATCAACTTTTACAGCAACAAAGGTAGGATTGTTGACTTCACAAAAGCAAATTTAAAATATTGGGTGTTTCATGAATTTGCCCTTGAATCCACTGTTAACACAATTTGTTGGTATATCAGAAGGCTAAAAATCTCCACTGCAAGGTGAAAGCATGGTGATAAGGACTGAATAGGTTTTTGACTGTGCTGGTGTTAGAGAAAGCACCAGGAGAACCATAGAGCTGGGGCTCTGCTCGGCATAAAATCTGAGGTGGAAGTCTTGAACATGATTGAGGAGAGGGTAGACACGGGAGGACCCTGGCAAAGGGCAGGCAAACTTCATCTCTTTCTGCAGTTCATTTTATTCCAGAGGATGTAATTACCAAACTCAAAGAAACAATTAGGAAAACTGTTGGTATCAGTTTATCTTTATCATCTGGGGAACAAATTATTAATCTTCCAAAAATTATTTTAAGAGAGTTATAACTAATTAATGATGGGCATACTTATAAATTACTCTTTTAAATTACCTCTATAAGGTTGTATTTTTCTTAAAAGAAACACCAGTCACAAGAGAGTTCACATATATAATTTTTGTCCTATCTTAAAAAATAGAGAGAGAGAAAGAGATGGGGTCTCATTATGTCACCCAGGCTGGACTTGAACCCCTAGGCTCAAGCCACTTTCAGGCCTCACGAGTAGCTGAGACTACAGGTGTGCACCTCCGTGCCCAGCTTGGCTTTATTTATGATAACAATACCTATTGCCTCAATAAACAAATATATCAAATGTTGCAAACAGTAGTATGGAAAATATGTGAACTTTTGCTGAAACTAAAGCCTGAAACTATGAAAACCCATTTTCATAGTAGTGATTCCTTGAAAACAATTTTTAATTTTAAATTGTTACCACAAACCCTAAAAAAGCTCCTCGGCTTTTCTCAAAAACCTCAAGAAATTCAATAATTCTAGCATATCTAAATGCAATATGCTATATGATATTATATCATATTATCTATATCTTATATGTTAATAAATAAGCATTCCAATCAGATGTGTAGTCATTCCAAGAATCAAAACTCGAAGACTTTAGAAAGGTATCTGTCTTCAGTTTTGATGTTTTATGTCATTTACTCTCAGAGTACACATACACACACACACAACCACACACACATATATGCAATAAGAGTTCTATTAAAATAAAAGTTATAGATATGTTTGGGGGTAATATAGAATTTTCAAAATGATATCTAAGGAAAACTTCAGTTCTTTCCTAAACAGAAATATGTAACCTACTTTAATGAACAGAATGAAAATTTCTAGTAACTTGTGCATCTTACAGAATAAAGTTAGTCCTAGGTCTCAGGAGTAAAAAAGTGCACCAATTTAATCAGAATTTTGATTTTACATGCCACTCTATGATCGAAGTGCTAAAATGCTCTGGAGCATAACTCAGTCAGGCAATATGTCCCTTTTATTCATTAGGCTTCTTACACCGTTTCTTGGCGGCTGCTCTGTAACCGTATGAGTCATTAGCACGAGTCCAAAATTGTGTGAAGAGAGATCTATGCTTTTGTCCTGTGGAGAGTCTTTTCAGTACAATCAAATTTGCTTCACAGTGTAATTTCACAGTTTGTGCAGTAGTCACTGACAGCTCACAGCACTGTTGTTATTCAAAGCTAAGCAGATGAGAGAGACATAACCAACTAATAACATGCTGGAAGTTATGTCTTCAAAGTTGCAGTCTAATTGTACATCTTCATTTAGTGAATGGCTGAAAACAAATTAAAATTTCCTGACCACTGGAGGCAAAAGCAATGCCAAGCAAATCAATTATATCAAATTCTTGTAGGGTGGAAATGTTCTTAATAAAATGTCACAGAGGGAAGGAAAATAACAAGAATAATACAAATGAACCAGAAATATAAAAACAAATATCAACTTCAGTTGTAAGCAAATGAATGTAAATTTAGACAGAAGTAAATATAGTTTGATGTTTTGGCAAAAAATAAACACTTTAAGATTTGGAATTGACTAAAGTATAGGAATCGGGCAATCTCATGTGCTTTTGATTAAGTGTACTTTTCCCAACAAATATATTTTTATGTAAAAAATTATAATGTCTTTTGACATGCTGACTGCAATTATCCAAAGGCAGTAGATAACAATGAGAGATGCACATATTTTTTTAACATAATGTTATGCAAAGTTTTTTGTTTGTTTTGTTTTTAGTTTAAGTCGTACTTTACTAGAAATTTTAGTTTTTATTAAATATTTTTTAATGCAGTTTTAGATTCACTTAAAAATCTAGGGGAAGGTATACAGAGGTATTTCATATACCCCCTTCTGCCACATATGCATAGCCTCTCCCATAATCAATATTCCCTACAATAGTGATACATTTGTTACAATTGATGAATTTATATGGACACATCATCACTCAAGTCCATGGTCTACAAGGTTCATTCTCAGTGTACATTCCATGGGTTTGAATAATGGTATGTGAAACATAATTTTCACTGCCCTGAAAAATCCTCTGTGCTCTGCCTATTAATCTCTTTTTCTCTCTTAACTCCAGGCAACCACTGTTCTTTCCACTGTCTCCACGTTTTTGCCTTTTCCAGAATTTCAGAGTGAATTCTTTCACTTAGTAATAGGCATTTAAGTGTCCTCCATATCTTTTCATGGCTTGATAGCTCCTTTCTTTTTAGCACATAATAATATTCCATTGTCTGGGTATATTGTAGCTTATTTATCCATTCTCTGGCTGAAGGAAATCTTACTGTATAATCCAGTAATCAAGCTGCTTGGTATTTACCAAAAAATGTTGAAACTTTATGTCCACACAACAACCTGCAAATGAATGTTTAAGGCAGCTTTATTCATAATTGTCAAAACTTGAGAATGATGCTGTTTTAAAGCAGTGAATATGTTATAATTTTAAATAAATTAAAAAAATTATCATAGAACACCAGCCACTGAAGGACATTTGAGCCATTTCCAGCTTTTGGCAGCTATGAATGTAGCTGCTATATACATTTTTGTGTAGGTGTAAATTTTCATATCTGTACAGTTGATACCCTAGACCATAATTGCTAGGTCATAAATTAAGGGCAGGATTAATTTTGAAGAAACTGCCAAACTTTTCTAGTATGGCTGAACCATGTTGTAGTCGCTCCAGTAATATATAGAAGATATGGTTCCTCATGTTTTTGTTTTTTGTTTTTTGGGTTTTTGTGAGAGAGAGAGAGACAGTTTCACCATGTTGGCCAGGGTGGTCTCCAATACCGGGCCTAAGGTGATCTGCCTGCCTCAGTCTCCCAAATTGCTGGGATTACAGGTGTGAGTCATGGTGTCCAGACTCCTCAGGTCTTTATTGGCAGTTGGAACTGTTGGAATACTTTTGTTTATGTTTTTGGTTTTTTTGTTTGTTTTTTAAGCCATTCTAATAGGTATGTAGATAGCTCATCATAATTTTAATTTTCATTTGCCCAGTGGTTAATGCTGTTGGACATACTTTCATGGTCTTATTTGACATTCTTATCTCTTTTAGTGATGTATCTGCTCACATCTTTTACTCTTTGTTTTGTAGTGTTACTTGTTGTCTTATTGTTTTATTTTTTTTTTCTTTTTTGAGACAAGGTCAGGCTCTGTTGCCAGGTGCTAGTGCAGTCACACAATATGGCTCACTGCAGCCTCGACCTCCTGGGCTCAAGCAGTCCTTTGCCTCGGCCTCCTGAGTAGGTAGGACTAAAGGTGCATGTCAACACAGCTGGCTAATTTTTAAAATTTTTCGTAGGGATGAGCTCTGGCTATGCTGCCCAGGCTGGTCTCAAACTCTTGAGCTCAAGGGATATTCCCCCTTCAGCCTCCCAAAGTGATGGGATTACAGGAGTGAGTGTAGACTATTCCTGGCCTTATTGTAGATTTCAAGAATATTTTGTATACCCTAGACACTCAAATATGTTATTAGAAAATATTTTTCCCAATCTTTAGCTTGCCCCTTTTATTTTGTTAGCTGTGTCTTTCCCCAAACAAAAGATTTTCAATTGAAAGTTCAATTTATCATTTTCATAGACTATATTTTGGTACCATTTACAAATTTCTTATAACAAAATCTATTGGAGAATTTTTGTGAATGATTAGAAAAAAATCCAAAGTCCAAAAGAAAGACACTGGTTAAAACATAGTAGTTGCATATGGTAAGATTTTATGCAGCTATTATAAACCACAATTTCAAAGAATATTAAAAACACGAAAATACTTATATGTTAATTGAAATGTAGCAGAAGTCATCTAGTTGCATATGTGGGTGTGTACATGTCTGTAGCATTTACGTGTGAAAAAGTATTGAGAGAATAACAAATGTTTTTTCTGAATTTTCTTTTTTGTTTACCAAAAATGTATTTGTTAAAATCAGTAAAAAATGATTACTTTTGGAGAAAATGAATATTTCATTAATCCATATTTGTACTTCAAGAAATCAATACTTTAAATTTTATTTGAATATGGAATAAATTTTGTCATTACAATTATTTTAAACTTCATAATTTTTGACACTTTTTGATAGCTCTCTGTAGGCTAAAAGCAAGTACGTTAGAATCACTTAAAAATGTAGAACAGACACAATTTACCCATTTTTGTATGTGATTATTTCCAATATTGTTAGGTTTAATATAGGACAAGATTTTTAATTTTTACATTGAAATATTTCCTGATCTTTTATATATAAATTATCCTGTAAATATGTTTTACTATGATTACAAAATACATAGTTGATGAAAACAAAATAATTGATATTTTTAAAACGTGAATGTCTAGAAAGCAAGGAATCATATCTCATTTTTACCTAATACACATATTAGCAATACATTGCTTTTTAGCTTGGCTCATTTGAGATTAGTTTTAAGAAACAATAAAAAATGCCCCAGGCAAGATGATAGGGAGATGGATAATGAAGTGATGTGTAACTAACAAATACATCTCTGTTTTTAAGCCTCTCATTTTTTTTGTGAGATATATATCACAATTAATTCGAAATAATTCTAACCTTCTTCCTTAATGTTCTACATTGGTTGTAGCAGTTGTTTGTGTCCAAATGCATCAATGTTCTGCTTATAACATATAAACTTATAAGTTTATATCACAACCTTAGCCCCAGGAAACTAGCATGTGACAATACCTCTTCATCTAAACTGTTGTTGCAGCCACACCAATTATGTAATTGTTATGGCAGCCACTAGAGGGAAGAGTGACAAAGTGCTACAGCTGAGATACCCAGAGACGTTTTATTCCAGATGAGGCCCTGGCGTGCAATGATTTCTATCTCAGTGTCTTATTGCCTTCAAACTATAAATCATCAATATCCTTAGAATGAACCTCTTCTACACAATTAAGTATTCTTAAAATGCTTAATTTAATATTTTAATTCAGTATCAACATATTAGAGCTTCTCTAACTGCAGTTTGAAAAGCTAGATATTTAAATACCCTTATATATCCTCCCAAATTTTAGTGTCCAGAAAATTATCATCTATCCCTAGGTTTCAGACTTCCTTACTTGTCTGTACATCTAAAACATGTTTTTTTTTAAATCTAATTTATGAAAAGAAAAATCCCATACTTAGAGGCTTAAATTATATAATTGAGAAATACAGACAAGTAGAATCAACCAATTAACAATAATTTGTATTGATGTCAGTGCTGTAGGTGATTTACATACATAACTTTATTGAAAACCTTACAAGTTAGATGTTACTTCCATGATTTAGATGAGAAAACGGAAGTGCACATCGTGCCTAATCTTACACAAGTGTTGTAAATGTTAAATGATAATGTTTTTTGTTAAAGATGGACCAGTTGGACTGAAATAAGGACCAGCAGAGTTGCACACTTATGTAGCAGATTCTCATGAAAACTCTTGTAAGTGTATATATATTTAGTCAAGTTTTCAAAGTACGTGATCTCTCTCATTAAAACATTTGCAATGTTCTTGAGCTTTCTATTACTAGGCTGATAGAAGCCCTTTGTTAAATGACTATATGTTGAGTTTTAATACTCATAATTGGCTAGTAACATATAAAACATAAGCACTATCTAAAATATTGAGAAGCTGATTTCATATAGTTTTTTTTTCTTTCTATCATAATATTTTATCATAACGAGCCAGAGCAGGGATATAGCTGAAAAGATTAACAAAATCCAGAGATATTTTGTTTATTGTTTATTTAACTGAGGCTTGTAAGCTTGTAAAATATCAAGCATGTTCTTCTTTTCTTTTCTTTTTTTTTTTTCTTTTTGAGACAGAGTTTTGCTCTTGTCGCCTAGCCTGGAGTGCAGTGGCGCAACCTTGGCTAACTGCAACCTCCATCTCCTGGGTTCAAGCGACTCAGCCTCCCCAAGTAGCTGGGAATACAGGCACCCGCCACTACACCCAGCTAATTTTGTATTTTTAGCAGAGACGGGACTTCACCATGTTGCCCAGGCTAGTCACAAACTCCTGACCTCAGGTGATCCACCTGCCTCAGGCTCCCAAAGTGCTGGGATTACAGGTGTGAGCCACCGCACCCAGCCACATGTTCTTATTTTTGGAAAGCACAACAAGAAGGAGAGATTAGAAGATGATTTGGGACAGCTGTTTACTTATGAAACAAAAGTCTGAATAAAGGAGGAGGTGATAAATCTGGATGAATTAGGATAGGACACTTGAACAACATTCGAGGTGAAGAGTATTGAAGGTGTGCAAATGCTTGAGAATAATAAACAGCTTCTCCTTTCCTTCTCTGGATTTTGAAAAGGGGGAGATTGCGGGCAGGTCAAATTTTGTTAAGAAATGGTGTTCAGTTTAGAAGACCATGGAGAAAGTGACATTATTGGGTAATAAATCTGGTACTGGTATTCAATTATGTATTGAACAAATATTTGCTGAGTACATTTCGTGAGTATACACTGGTGAACTAAATATATGTGCTTTCATGAGGTCCATGAGACAATGCAAGAATAGAAGTTCAGGAAGTACTCAAGAATACAGAAGGATTTAATTTTTACTCATTTGTTTTAAATTCAGATGTCATCCTAGCGCATGCTGTCTTTCAAGATTTAGGTTGGTTCACCTAGGTCATGTGGGTAATCCAGTGCCTTTCCTAAATGTTCCATAACTTCCTGAGGTATTTCATTCTCCGGGGTTCAAAGTCTCAGGGTCTGATGCACTCTTTTTCCCAAACCTATCTCATTCACCTCGCTATTAAGTTTTCTTAGTACTGAATCGACCCAGACAAGGAACTCAACCAAATCCTTGATTTTTAGTTTCTAAAATACTTACATGAGACATTTATACATGTGGAAAATTAACTGAAGTGTTATGAAACTGGAGAGCATTTACGAAGTAGCAATGCAAAGTAAAAATAAAAAAAAAAACATGTTTTCTTTCAAAGTCAATTTTCTATCCCAACCGAATTTCCCTGCAGATTCTGACTCCTCACTTATTGCTATATAACATCATTCTCTCTTCGCCAATCCCTCCTGTAACCCTATCCATTACCTTCCCTTCCTTATTCCCAAATCCTATTCATCTTTATGAATATCTTTGTTCCCACATTCCTAACAGGCAGAATCTGCTGGAAATTTTTGTTAGGATAGGAAACTGACTTTACCTTCAAGGGTACAGGGTGAGAGATGGTGGTGGTGGTGAGTTATTTTTTTGTCCCCCTAGTTCTATATAATGACCCTATTAGTCCTATAAATATAGCCAATGGAGATCTTTTCTTTCATTAAAGCCATGACATATTTTCTGCAGTATCACTCTTGACATTTAATATTGGATGTTTAAAGGAAAGAGAGACTATTTTTTATTTCTATCATGAGTTCGTATATTCATCAGGGTTTGGCTAAGAAACAAATGGCACCTTCCCAAGGGGTTGATTGATCCAGAACTTTTCAATGCTTTCTTATTTTTCCTTGAGTGACTGTACAATTCTTAATAATGGCCTGCAAGACCTTGGATGATCTTTCATGATTGAAGCTCTTAAACTCTAGTCTTGTAGTTTTGGGAAAGCACCAAGTTGTTTTGGTTTGGTTTGGTTTGTTCCCATCCTTCTGGATGTTCACAAATCCTGCTCTCTTTGTCTTAAATATTATCATCTTGCTTTTTTCTGTTATTTTATTATTTTAAAAATACTTTTAAATGTGGAAAACACATGTAACATACTATTTAGCGTCTTAACCATTAAGTATACTCTTCAGCCGTGTTAACTATATTCAGGTTGCTATGCAACAGATGTCCAAAGCTTTTTTATCCAGCAAACTTGAAACTCTATGCCCATTAAATATCTCCTCATTTATCCCTCACCCAGCGCCTGGCAACCACTATTCTATTTTCTATTTTTGCAAGTTGGACTACTCTAGGTACCTTGTGTAAATGGAATCAGACAGTATTTGTCTTTTTGTTACTGGCTTATTTCATTTAGCATAATGTCCTCAAGGCTCATACATGTTGTAACATGTCAGAATTTCTTTCTTTTTAAAATATTCCATTATATGTATAGACTATATTTTGTTTATCCATTCATCCATCCATAAATACTTGGGTTGCTTCCACCTTTTGACTATTGCGAATGTACAAATATTTATTTGAGACCCTACTTCTTTTTTTTTTTTTTTTTTTTTTTTTTAGACAAAATCTCACTCTGTCACTAGGCTGGAGTGCAGTGGTGCAGTCTTGGTTCACTGCAGTCTCTGCCTCCTGGGTTCAAGCTATTCTCCTGCCCTGGCCTCCCGAGTAGCTGGGACTACAGACACGTGCCACCAGACCCAGCTAATTTTTGTATTTTTAGTAGAGATAGGATTTCACCATGTTGGCCAGGATGCTCTCGATCTCTTGACCTTGTGATCTGCCCGCGTCGGCCTCCCAAAGTGCTGGGATTACAGGTGTGAGCCACCGTGCCTGGCCCCTACTTTTAATTCTTTAGGATATATCCCAAGAATGAATTTTCTAGGTCATATGTTAATTCTACTTTTATTTTTTACAAGAATCACCATACTATTTTTTACAGTGGCTGCACTATTTTACATTCCCTCCAAAAGTGCTCAGGGTTCCAATTTCTCCATATCCTTGACAACATATCATCATACTTTTTGGATGACTAGCACTCTCTATGTCAGTTTCAACATCAACACGTTAGTGACCTAAGGCTGTTTCCCACTCTGCCCAATGGTGTCCATAAGGATGCCTTGCTTGTTACATTCTTAACACATAGAATTGGTGCTAAGTGTGTAGCTTTTTTTTTTTTTTGTATTTCTTGTTTGTTTTACCCTACAGACTATTAGCTCCATGAATATATAAAGGTGGGAACTATATTTATTTTTCCTTTTGCCACTCTGACACATGGTAATTCTTTAAGGATTTACTGATGAATGCTACTTATATACTGTTCATAGTATACACCCTTAGAGATCCTCAACAGCAAAAATAAGAGCTGTGGTTTTTGGTAAACACATGCTACTGACTTCAGTATTTTATTGCAATGTTTGCAATGTTGTAATCTCTGTAATATTGAAAGTTATAGATTTAATCCCCCCTTAATTGTTGAAACTAGGCTTTTAATTATCACGTCACACGGGTAGTCAGTGACAAAACTGATATTGAGAACAATACCTAGTTGATCAAGGCATTGAAACAAACATCATCCTCAAAGGGTAAAAATTTAACTTTATCTAACTGTAATACTGCATATTTTTTCTATATCATACTGGAAAAATAATTTCCAAGCAAAGTAAGTTTTTATATGCTCTACAGGATCACTTTCTGTAATAGCTTTACCATATAAATTTACTTTTTTCCTCCATAGGCATTTTCATCACAGCATTGCAGTAAATAACTATTATAATATTAAGTGACCTGTGTGTGTATGTGTGTGTGTGTATATATATAATATGTAATTTAAGATATAGAGATACAGATATGTATATAGATAGAGCTATAGATCTTATGCAAATTTAAATTGTGTCTAACTACTCAATGAATCACTGGACTTAGCTACTACAATGCTTGCTGAGCTCATCAAGAAAAAACTCAGTATGAGACAATAAACATTTATACTTACTATTCTATTAAAAAGAGTGATCATAGGAGCACCTGTAGAATAGAAATAATGATTTCATACATATTTTATGAGGAAAAAAATTGTTCTCTCTGATCATGCTAGTGAACTGACCAACGTGAAAATTATTTAACAGAATGAGATAAATTTACAATATAATTTATATCTCTTATATTGTATTGTATTTTATTTATTTTTATCTTTTTTTCTGAGGTGGAGTCTCGCTCTGTCGCCCAGGCTGGAGTGCAGTGGTGTGATCTCGGCTCACTGCAACCTCCACCTTCTGGGTTCAAGCAATTATCCTGCCTCAGCCCCCGAGTAGCTGGTATTACAGGCATACACCACCATGCCCAGCTAAAATCTCTTATATTTTAATTAATTTTAAATAAAAAGGCCTCAGGATCTCAAGATGTATACATCATGAGTTCCTTCTTTTAAACATGTAATTACAGGTGTATATAGTATGTGTGTGTATATATATATATTTGTATATCACAATATTTCTGAGTAATAGCATATTGCCATTATATATTATACATAGAAAATATATGACTTATATTGACAAGATATTTTTGTTTAACACAATTAGGAAATTTATATGAGGCTGCATAGGTCAAATTACACACATTTAAGTTTTTCATGAGAAAGCTTTTTATTTATGGCATGTACTTAAGTGATCAGAACCAGGGCTGACTATGTTCATATTTCCACCACATGTTATACCTATATCCATTCGATATTTTTTGTTTGAGCATTTTTACATGACTTTTTAACATGAAAATGAGAAGCATATACCTAAGAATAGGAAATGGCCCTCTGAGATCCCAAAATAGGATAGAGACTTGCAACAAAGCACTTGAACTATGTAACTCTCCAGAGATTTTACCATTTGAAATTTGAGGTAATGACATGCAAATTTCACTGCCAGTGACACTTTTCACTTGAGAATTGACATGTATAAAAATCAGCTATTTTGTTATATGAAAAAAATAAACTTCACCTACTACTATACCAACTTTCCGTCACAGCGTTACCATTTTTGGTAATATTGAGTTTATATTGCATTTTACTAAGAAAGAAGTGTTTTTTACTAAAACATTTATTGACATATAATAAGCATGCAGAAAATTGCATAAATCTTAAATATATTGAATCATTCCGATTTTTAGTATGTGAAACTGCATGTATTTAAATATTTTATGCGGCTTGTAAAGTTGTCAAATTCTTTGATAATATGATAAAAATATAAGATAAACACTCTAAAATGGTATTGCATAACAAACTCACTGATCAGGACAGCCACATTACACGTAACAAGAATATTTAATATTCTTTTTTCAGTTACTGTAAATAAGAAAACAGTATCTTTATAGATCAGAAGATAGCTTTTGCTTTGTGGTTAACAGAGCTGTAATCTGCCAGTTGTAAGAATAAATAAAACCTCTTAATAGAATTTTGATCACAGGAAGGGGAATATCACACACTGGGGCCTGTCGGGGCTGGGGGGCAAGGGGAGGGAGAGCATTAGGGCAAATACCTAAAGCATGAGGGGCTTAAAACCTAGATGACGGGTTGATAGGTGCAGCAAACCACCATGGCACATGTATACCTATGTAACAACCCTGCACATTCTGTACATGTATCCCAGAACTTTTTTTAAAAGTAGAATTTTGAAAAGATTTTTTAATGCTTTTCTTTACCTTGATATTGATAGAAATAATACTACTACTAGCAAGCATTTCTTGATGTTATTGTGTACCTTGTTCATCATAGGGTTGCTATATTGCATATATTAATATATGCAGAGGGCGTATATTAACTCATTAAGCAATATAGCAACCCTATGATGTAGCTATTGACATTATCTTGGTTGTACTAGCTAATACATGGACAAATCTAACTCTAATCTAATACTAGAAATATTCTTTTTTACCCATAGTATTATACCTCCTGGGGCATTAAAAAGCTCAGGTCTTAAGTGTAGATTTGCTATTTGATCCAGCAATCCTAATACTGGGTATCTACTCAAAGGAAAAGAAGTCATTACATGAAAAAGACAGATGCACATGCATGTTTATAGCAGCACAATTTGCAATTGCAAAAATATGGAACCATCCTAAATGCTTATCTACCAATGAGTGGATAAAGAAAATGTTATATATATATATAAACATAGATAGATAGATAGATAGATAGATAGATAGATACCATGAATACTACCCAGCCATAAAAAGGAGCAAAATAATGTCTTTTGCAGCAACTTAGATGGAGCTGGAGGCATTATTCTAAGTGAAGTAACTCAGGAATGGTAAATCAAATACTGTATATTCTCACTTGTAAGTGAGAGCTGATCCAAGGGGACACAAAATCATACAGAGTGATATAATGGCCTTTTGGGACCAGCGGTAGGGGGAGGTTGGGAGGAGGGTGAGGGATAAAAGACTACCTACTGGGTGCAGTGTAAACCATTCAGGTGATGAGTGCACTAAAATATCAGAATTCACTACCAAAGAACATATCCATGTAACCAAAAACCACCTGTACCCCAAAAACTATTGAAATAGAAACAAAGCTCAGTTCTTCCTGACAACTATAATTTCTGATATTCTAATTAACATAATAAAAGATACATCAAAACTTTTAGATGTACGTCTAACATTTTGGCCATTTCTTTTCATTCTTGTGTGTATTTATACATGCACAGAGGCATACACACATATATAATAAATCTATACTTTAAGTCAAATATCACTTTAGAGATTTGTTAACCAGTCATTTCATTCTGTAGATTGTAACTAACGCCCATAATGGCATACGTTTTTAGCTGAGTTAGCAGGGTCAGGAGTAGAACTGTTTTCCTCATATTAGTTACAGCACATTTTTGTATTATGGTGGCCATTAAATCATTGTAATTGTATTTATTTATATGTGATATATAATATCAAGCAAAACTTTGAATCCACATTGTATTAGTCTGTTCTCACACTGCTAATAAAGACATACCTGAGACTGAGTAATTTATAAGGAAAAAAGAGGTTTAATGGACTCACAGTTCCATATGGCTGGGGAGTCCTCACATTCATGGTGAAAGGTAAAAGGCACATCTTACATTGCAGCAGGCAAGAGAGAGAGAATGAGAGCCAAGTGAAAGGGGAAACCCCTTGTAAAAACATCAGATCTCATGAGACTTATTCACTACCACAAAACGGTATGGGTGAAACTGCCCCCATGATTCAGTTATCTCCAACTGGGTCCCTCCCATAACATGTGAGAATTATGGGAACTACAAATTCAAGAAGAGATTTGGGTGGGGACACAGCCAGATCATATCACACATGAAAAAGTTCTCTAATGAGTATGAAGAGCGATGAAATATAATTTTATTACTGTATTAGTCTGTTTGAGTCACTCTAAAGGAATATATGAGGCTGCGAAATTATTTATAAAGAGAAAAGGTTTAATTGGCTCATGGTTCTGCAGGCTGCATAGGAAGCATGGTACTGGCATCTGCCTCTGGTGAAGGTATCGGGAAGCACACAATTGTGGTGGAAGGAAAAGGAGGAGTGGGCATATGTCACATGGTGAGAGGGGGAGCAAGGGAGCACAAGGGGAGGTGCCACACCCTTTTAAAGAACCAGATCTCACATGAACTCAGAGTGAGGACTCACTCATCACCAAGCAGACGGCACTAAGCCATTCATGAGAGATCCACCGTCATGATCCAAACTTCCCACAAGGTCCCACCTCCAACTGGGGATAGCATTTCAACATGAGATTTGAAGGGACAAACACCAAAACTATATCAACTACTTTGGCAAAATATAGGTCCCTAAATACATTTAGATGAATTTGTGTATCATACAGTCAACCCCAGTACTGATATAATGATAATGAAGTGAGAATATTCTTGAGATTTTAAGGTTATTTTTTAAAACCTTGTTTTTAATGATATCTATGGAAAATATAAACCTGGACTTAGTGATACCTAATTTTTTTTCTTTCTTCATTCTCAGAAGACTAGAAATGCTTTCCAGCTGAAATAGTATCTATGATTGTCAACCCTTCCTCTGCAAGGGTGAAAAAAATTAACCATGGATTTGTAACTGATCTATAACTTTTCCACATATCATAAGGCTAATTGGATGTTCATTATTTATCTCTGAAGTTCTTTTCCAAAGAAGATTCTATTAAATGTTCCTTTAGCACATTATATTTGAGGTCCGGTGGGGGGAAACTTATTTCATAGTCATGTCCTATAAAAGGCTAAACTAACACAAAAATATACTTGGATTAAACTCTTGTATTTCATATAAGAAACACATCTTGGATTCATCAAATGAAGTAGCACATCCAAGAAAATTCTGAGTTTACTAAAATACTAAGATTAATGCTATTTTCACATACTGAGAAGTAAATATGCCTTCATTGTATTACCTCAAGTGATAATTAATATCAGACAGGTTAATTCTTAGTATTAAGCTATAAGCAAAGCTTTAATTAGTGAGATCTCACAGAATTGCAAAAGAACTACTTGTTAATTGGAAGAAAGAAAAAATTAGGGTCCATTAAAATATTTTAAATATAAAGCATGAGCTTTAATTGTGAACTTGATGTAAAATAGACCTTCACCTCTTTTGTTCACTACTCTATTGTAAACTCTCAGAATGGGATTGGCATAGAGTAGCTATTTGAATAATATTCATTGTATGAATGAATAAGCTTAAGTTTTTGTTGTATTACTTTTTTTTATTGTATGTTAAGTTCTGGGGTACATGTGCACAACGTGCAGGTTTGTTACATAGATATACATGTGCCGCATTGGTTTGCTGCACCCATCAAGTTATCATTTACATTAGGTGTTTCTCCCTAATGCTATCCCTCCCCCAGCCCCCTACCCCCTGACAGGCCCCTGTGTGTGATGTTCCCCTCCCTGTGTCCATGTGTTCTCATTGTTCAGCTCCCACTTATGAGTGAGAACACATGGTGTTTGGTTTTCTCTTCTTGTGTTACTTTGCTGAGAATGATGGTTTCCAGTTTCATCCATGTCCCTGCAAAGGACATGAACCATTCCTTTCTTATGGCTGCATAGTATTCCGTAGTGTATATTGCCACATTTTCCTTATCCAGTCTATCATTGATGGGCATTTGGGTTGGTTCCAAGATTTTGCTATTGTGAACAGTGCTGCAATAAATGTATGTGAGCATGTATCTTTATAGTAGAATGATTTATAATGCTTTGGATATATACCCAGTAATGGGATTGCTGGGTCAAATGGTATTTCTGGTTCTAGATCCTTGAGGAATTGCCACACTGTCTTCCACAATGGTTGAACTAATTTACACTGCCACCAACAATGTAAAAGCGTTCCTATTTCTCCACATCCTCTCCAACATCTGTTGTTTCCTGACATTTTAATGATCACCATTCTAACTGGCGTGAGATGGTATCTCATTGTGGTTTTGATTTGCATTTCTCTAATGACCAGTGATGATGAGCATTTTTTTCTTAAGTTTGTTGGCTGTGTAATTGTCTTCTTTTGAGAAGTGTCTGTTCATATACTTTCCCCATTTTTTGGTGGGGTTGTTTGTTTTATTCTTGTAAATTTGTTTAAGTTCTTTGTAGATTCTGGATATTAGCCCTTTGTCAGATGGATAGATTGCAAAAATTTTCTCCCAATCTGTAGGTTGCCTGTTTACTCTGCTGATAGTTTCTTTTCCTGTGCAGAAGCTCTTAGGTTTAATTAGATCCCATTTGTCTACTTTGGCTTTTGTTGCCATTGCTTTTGGTATTTTAGTCATGAAGTCTTTGCCCATGCCTATGTCCTGAATGATATTGCCCAGGTTTTCTTCTAGGGTTTTTATGGTGCTAGGTCTTACATTTAAGTCTTTAATCCATCTCGAGTTAATTTTTTATAAGGTGTAAGGAAGGGATCCAATTTCAGCTTTTTGCATATGGCTAGCCAGTTTTCCCAGAACCATTTATTAAATAGGGAATCCTCTCCCCATTGCTAGTTTGTGTCAGGTTTGTCAAAGATCAGATGGTTGTAGATGTGTGGTGTTATTTCTGAGGCCTCTGTTCTGTTCCATTGGTCTATATATCTGTTTTGGTACCAGTACCATGCTGTTTTGGTTACTGTAGCCTTGTAGTATAGTTTGAGTCAGGTAGCATGATGCCTCCAGCTTTGTTCTTTTTGCTTAGGATTGTCTTTGCTATGTGGGCTCTATTTTTGGATCATCTGAAATTTAAAGTAGTTTTTTTTTCCAATTCTGTGAAGAAAATCAATGGTAGATTTATGGGGATAGCATTGAATCTATAAATTACTTTAAGCACTATGGCCATTTTCACAATATTGATTCTTCCTATTCATGAGCACAGAATGTTCTTCCATTTGTGTCCTCTTTTATTTCCTTGAACAGTGGTTTGTAGTTCTCCTTGAAGAGGTCCTTCATATCCCTTGTAATTTGGATTTCTAGGTATTTTATTCTCTTTGTAGCAATCGTGAGTGGGAGTTCACTCATGATTTGGCTCTCTGTGTTTGTTATTGCTGTATAGGAATGCTTCTGATTTTTGCACATTGATTTTGTATCCTGAAGTTTGCTGAAGCTGCTTATCAGCTTGAGATTTGGGGCTGAGACAATGGGGTTTTCTAAGTATACAATCATGTCATCTGCAAACAGGAATTAATTTATTTCTTCTAGATTTTCTAGTTTATTTGCATAGAGGTGTTTATAGTATTCTCTGATGGTAGTTTGTATTTCTATGGGATAAGTGGTGATATCCCCTTCATATTTTTTTTGCATCTATTTAATTCTTCCCTCGTTTCTTCTTTATTAGTCTGGCTAGCAGTCTATTTATTTTGTTATCTTTTCAAAAAACCAGATCCTGAATTTATTGATTTTTTTGAAGGGTTTTTTATGTCTCTATCTCCTTCAGTTCTGCTCTGATCTTAGTTATTTCTTGTCTTCTGCTAGCTTTTGGATTTGTTTGCTCTTGCTTCTCTAGTTCTTTTAATTGTGATGTTAGGCTTTCAATATTAGATCTTTCCTGCTTTCTCTTGTGGGCATTTAGTGTTATAAATTTCCCTCTTAATACTGCTTTAGCTGTGTCCTATAGATTCTGGTACGTTGTGTATTTGTTCTCATTGGTTTCAAAGAACATCTTTATTTAGTTATATACCCAGTAGTCATTCAGGAGCAGGTTGTTCAGTTTCCATGTAGTTGTGCAGTATTGAGTGAGTTTCTTAATCTTGCAGTATAATTTGATTGCAATGTGGTCTGAGAGACACTTTGTTGTGATTTCTGCTCTTTTACATTTGCTGAGGAGTGTTTTACTCCCATTTATGTGGTCAATAATTTTAGGTACACCAATCACACGTAGATTTGGTCTTTTCACAGAGTCCCATATTTCTTGGAGGCTTTGTTTCTTTTCACTCTTTTTTCTCTGATCTTGTCTTCTTGCTTTATTTCATTCAGTTGATTTTCAATCACTGATATCCTTTGTTCCACATGATCAATTCGGCTATTGAAACTTGTGTATGCTTCACCAAGTTCTTGTGCTGTGTTTTTCAGCTCCATCAGGTCATTTATGTTCTTCTTTACACTGGTTATACTAGTTAGCTATTTGTTTAACCTTTTTTCAAGTTTGTTAGCTTCCTTGTGTTGGGTTAGGACATGCTCCTTTAGCTTGGAGGAGTTTGTTATTACCCACCTTCTGAAGCCTACTTCTGTCAATTCGTCAAACTCATACTCCATCCAGTTTTGTTCACTTGCTGGTGGGGAGTTGTGATCCTTTGGAAGAGAAGAGGCATTCTGGTTTTTGGAATTTTCAGCTTTTCTGCCCTGGTTTCTCCCCATCTTTGTGGTTTTATCTACCTTTTGTCTTTGATGTTGGTGACGTACAGTTGGGGGTTTTGTGTGCATGTACTTTTTGTTGATGTTGATGCTATTCCTTTCTGTTTGTTAATTTTTCTTCTAACAGTCAGGCCCCTTAGCTGCAGGTCTGTTGGAGTTTGCTGGAGGTCCACTCCAGACCCTGTTTGCCTGAGTATCACCAGTGGAGGCTGCAGAACAGCAAATATTGCTGCCTGATCCTTCCTCTGGAAGCTTCATCCCAGAGGGACACCTACCAGATGCCAGCCAGGGCTCTCCTGTATGGGGTGTCTGTTGGCTCCTACTGGGAGATGTCTCCCAGTCAGGCTACACGGGGGTCAGGGTCCCACTTGAGGAGGTAGTCTGTTTGTTATCAGAGCTTGAATGCTGTGCTGGGATAACCACTGCTCTATTCAGAGCTGTCAGGCAGGGACATTTACATCTGCTGAAGCTGTGCCCACAGCTGCCCCTTCCCCCCAGGTGCTCTGTCCCAGGGAGATGAGGGTTTTATCTATAAGTCCCTGACTGGGGCTGCTGCCTTTTGTTCAGAGATGCCCTGCCCACAGAGGTGGAATCTAGAGAAGCAGTCGGCCTTGCTGAGCTTCAGTGGGCTCTGCCCAGTTTGAACTTCCCTGCAGCTTTGTTTACACTGTGAGCGTAAAACCACCTACTCAAGCCTCAGCAATGGTGGACACCCCTCCTCCAGCCAAGCTCCAGTGTCCCAGGTCAATCTCAGACTGCTGAGCTAGCAGCTAGAATTTCAAGCCAATGGACCTTAGCTTGCTGGGCTCTGTGGGCATGGGACCCACCGAGCCAGGCACTGGAGGGAATCTCCTGGTCTGCTGGTTGCGAAGACTGTGGGAAAAGTGCAGTATCTGGGCAGCAGTGTACCATTTCTCCTGGTAGGGTCTCTCAGGGCTTCCCCGACCCCTTGCATTTCTCGATTGAGGTGACACCCTGCCCTGCTTCGTCTCGCCCTCCATGGGCTGCACCCTCTGTCCAACCAGTCTCATTGAGATGAACCAGGTACCTCAGCTGGAAATGCAGAAATCACTCATCTTCTGCATCAATCCCGCTGGGAGCTGCAGACCAGAGATGTTCCTATTCAGCCATCTTGCCAGAAATCCCTGTATTACTATTTTTTATGAGACGATTCTGTGCAATATTTGACCATTTACCTAAGAGACATTTTTCTTAAAACTTTAAAACATAAAAATTATGTTGCAGGCTTAATCCCATATATTAGGAAAAATAATATATTAGTAAAATATTAGGAAATTAGATAAATATGTTAATGTAACTAGGGCATAAAGAGACTTCCTAATAAAGGAAAAATAGAATTTTCTCATAAATATATAAACAGGTATAATCTTAAAACTAATGAATAAAATGAGAAAATGAATAAAAGAAAACATAACTGTATGACATACAGTTTTTTTAACTTTTAAGTTCAGGGTATAAATGCAGGGTTTGTTACACAGGTAAATGTGTATAATGGGGGTTGGTTGTGCAGATTATTTTATTACCCAGGTATTAAGCCTAGTACCCATTAGTTATTTTTTTCTGATCATCTCCCTTTTCCCACCTTCCACCCTCTGAAAGGCCCCAGTGTTTGTTGTTCTCTTCTATGTGTCCACATGTTCTCATCATTTAGCTCCCTCTTGTAAGTGAGAACATGCCATATTTGGTTTTCTGTTCTTGCATTAGTTTCGTAAGAATAATTTCCTCCAGCTGCATCCACATGCTTGCAAAGTACATGATCTTGTTCTTTTTATGGCTGTCTAGTATTCCATGGTTTATATGTACCACATTCTCTTTATGCAGTATACCATTGATGGGCATTTAGGTTAATTTCATATCTATGCTATTGTGAATAGTGCTGCAATGAACACACATGTGCATGTGTCTTTATATTAGAATGATTTCTACTCCTTTGGGTATATACCCAATTATGAGATTGCTGGGTCTAATCGTATTTCTGTCTTTAGGTCTTTGAGGAATCATCACACTGTCTTCCACAATAGCTGAACTAATACACATTCCCACCAACAGTGCATAAGAGTTCCTTTTTCTCTGCAACCTCACCAGCATTTATTATTTTTTGACTTTTTAATATTCATGATAGCCATTTTGAGTGTTGTTAGATGGTATCTCATTGTGGTTTTGATTTGTATTTCTCTAATGATCAGTAATGTTGAGCTTTTCTCATATGATTGTTGGCTGCATGTATGTCTTCTTTTGAGAAGTATTTGTTCATGTCCTTAGCCCACTTTTTTATGGGGTTGCTTGTTTCTTTCTTGTAAATTTAAGTTTCTTATAGATGCTGAGTATTACACTTTTGTTGGATGCATATTTTGCAAATATTTTCTCCCATTCTGTAGTTCGTCTGTTGATAATTTCTTTTGCTGTGCAGAAACTCTTTTGTTTAATTAGATCCATTGTCGATTTTTGCTTTTGGTGTCTTCCTCATTAAATCTTTGTTCGTGCCTATATCCAGAATGATATTGCCTAGGTTGTTTTCCAGGGTTTTTATAGATTTGGATTTTACATTGAAGTCTTTAATTAATCTTGAGTTAATTTTTGTAGATGGTGTAAGGAAGGTGTCCGGTTTCAATCTTCTGCATATGTCTAGCCAGTTATACCAGCACCATTTATTGAATAGGGAATCCTTTTCCCATTTCTTGTGCTTGTTATGTTTTTTGAAGTCAGGCAGTTCTAGGTGTGCAGACTTATTTCTGGATTCTCCATTCTGTTTGATTGGTCCATGTGTCTGTTTTTGTACAAGCACCACACTGTTTTGGCTACTGTAGCCCTGTAGTATAATTTAAAGTTGGGTAGTGTGATGCCTCCAGCTTTGTTCTTTTTGCTTAGGATTGCCTTGGCTATTATGGCTGTTTTCTGGTTCCATATGAATTATAAAATAGTTTTCTCTAGTTCTGTGAATCATGTCAATGGTAGTTTAACAGGAATAGCATTGAATCTATAAATTGCTTTGGACAGTTTGGCCATTTTAAAGATGTTAATTATTAGTATCCATGAGCATGGATGCTTTTCCATTTATGTTATCTGTGATTCTTTTGAATAGTGGTTTGTAGTTCTCCTTGTTTAAGTCTTTCACCTCCTTAGTTAGCTGTATTCCTAGTCATTTTATTATTTTTCTGGCAATTGTGAATGGGAGTACATTTCTGATTTGGTTCTTGGCTTGACTGTTGTTGGTTTATAAGAATGTTAGTGATTTTTGCACATTGGTTTTGTATCCCGAGACTTTGCTAAAGTTGTTTATCAGCTTAAGAAGCTTTTGGGCTGAAACTTTGGGGTTTTCTAGATATAGAATCATGTCTTCTGCAAACGGAGATAGTTTGACTTCCTTCCTATTTGAATGCCTTTATTTCTTTCTCTTGCCTGATTGGCCTGGCCAGAACTTCCAATACTATGTTGAGTAGGAGTGTTGAGAGAAGGCATCCTTCTCTTGTGTCGGTGTTCAAGGGGAATGCTTCCAGTTTTTGTCTATTCAGTATAATATTGACTGTGGGCTTGTCAGAGATGGTTCTTCTTATTTTGAGGTATGTTGCTTTATTGAGAGTTTTTAACTTGCAGGGATGTTGAATTTTATCAAAGGCCTTTTTTGCATCTATTTAGATGATCAGGTGGCTTTTGTCTTTAGTTCTGTTTATGTTATGAATCACATTTATTGATTTGTGTGTGTTGAACCAAACTTGCATCCCGGGGATGAAGCCTACTTGATCATGGTGGATAAGCTTTTTGATATTCTGCTGGATTTAGTTTGCCAGTATTTTGTTGAGGAATTTTGCATTCATGTTCATCAAGGATATTAGCCTGATGTTTTCTTTTCTTGTTGTATCTCTGCAAGGTTGTGATATCAGAATTATGCTGTCCTCATAGAATGAGTTAGCGGGGAGTCTCTTATCAATATTTTGAAATAGTTTCAGTAGGAATGGTACGAACTCTTTTTTGTACACCTGGTAGAATTCAGCTGTGAATCTGTTTGGTACCATGTTTTTGTTGTCATTGTTGTTTGTTTCTGTTTGTTTGTTTGTTTTGATAGGCTATTTATTGCTGCCTTAATTTTAGAACTCATTACTGGTCTGTTCAAGGATTCAATTTCTTCCTGGTTCAGTCTTCGAAAAGTGTGTATGTTCAGGAATGTATCCATTTCTTCTAGTTTCCAGTCTGTGTGCATGGATATGTTCATAATATACTCTAATGGTTTGTTTGTATCACTGTGGGCTCAGTGGTAATATCTCTCTTGTCATTTCTGATTGGGTTTATTTGACTCTTCTCTCTTTTCATCTTTGTTAGCCTAACTAGTGGTCCATCTATCTTATTAATTTTTATTAAGAAACAGCTCCTGGATTCATTGATCTTTTGAATGAATTTTCATGTCTCTGTCTCCTTCAGTTTAGCTCTAATTTTTGTTATTGTCTTCTGCTAGCTTCGGGATTTCTTTACTCTTGATCCTCCAGTTCTTTAAGGTGTGATGTTAGGTTGGTAAATTGAGATATTTCCAGCTTTTTGATGTGCACATTTAGTGCTATAAATTTCCCTGTTAACACTGCCATAGCTGTCTTCCAGAGATTCTGGTATGTTGCATCTTTGTTCTCATTATTTTCAAAGAACTTGATTTTTGCCTTAATTTCATTATTTACCTAAAAATCATTCTGTAGCAGGTTATTTAATTTCCATGTATTTGTATAGTTTTGTGTGCATTTTTTAGTCTTGATTTCTAATTTGGTTGTGCTGTGGTCTGATACATTGTTTGCTATGATTTCTGTTCTTTTGTATTTGCTGAGAAGTGTTTTACTTCCAGTTATTTCATTTTAGAGCAAGGGCCATGTGGTGATGAGAAGAGTGTATATTCTATTGGTTTTGAGTCAAGAGTTCTGTAGGTATCTATCAGATCCATTTGATTCAGAGCTGAGTTCATGCCCTGAATATCTTTGTTAATTTTCTGTCTCATTGATCAGTCAAATCTTTTTACTAGAGTGTTAAAGTCTCCCACAATTAGTGTGTGGGAGTTTAAATCTCTTTGACAGTCTCTGAGATCTTGCTTTATAAATCTGGTTGCTCCTGTGTTGGATTCACGTATATTTAGATCTTATTGAATTGAACCCTTTATCTTGATATATAATTAATACTAAAAAGTGCAAATAAGTCCTACATAAGTGAAATTATAGTACCTATAAGCTGAGATACTAAAATATGGCTTTATTTTGATTATAAAGTAGTTCATATTACTGTAATATATTCTTTGTACAAAACAATAAAATTTTATCTGAATGTTCTATATCTGCTTTTTAAATTTGTTTTATTTTATTTGTTTTTCTTATTCATTATGGGCAAGTATAAAACCAATAGGAATTATGAGAAAGAGAGTCCCAAAACAATTTTCAAAAACTGATTTATATGGACTAAGAAATATAAAATTGGGAAAAATAATAAAATAGCTCCGGAAATTAGAAAAAAATGAATTTGAAATGACATGCAATTAAAGGAATTACACTAGATAAATTGCAAAAGAGGGCAAATAAAGAGCGACATTGAGAGATCATTTATACATTTTCTTCTTAAGAAACAAAGTAGAAAATAGCTAGGAGAAGTCCTAGAAGACATCTACTTGCTTGTGAAAAGTCACAGGAAAAAGAACTAGAGTCAAGAAAAGGCCTTTGGCAAGATAGGCCTTAGTTCGTCAACTGCATGTTATTTTCCTAGCTAAGCTCTGTAATAATTGGTATAAGCAGTGCCAGACATTACAAAAGAACTAAAGAGCAAGTCTGCATGGTATAACCACATTAGGAATATTTTAGACACTATCACTTTATCAGTTTTAATGAATACTACCTTTTCCAAATTTTTTATTCCTTATTTCTATATATTAAAAAAAATTTCATTGAGGTAAGAACGCTTAACATGAACTTACCCACCAGACAAATTTCTGTGTGCACAATACAGTATTGTTAACTATAGGAAAAATGGTGTACAGCAGATCTCTAGAACATATTCATCTTGCATAATTTAAAATGTCTGCCCATATAATTGCAATTTCCCATTTCTGTCTTTCCCCCGGAATATTATCCCTGGTAACCATCATTCCATTCTCTTAATTCTATATGTTTGACTATTTTAGTTACCTCATATAAGAGCAATCATTCAGTGTTTATCCTGTGACTAGCTAATTTTGCTTAGTATGATGTCCTCACAGTTCATCATGTTGTCACATATTGTAGAATTTCCTTCTTTTTAAAGGCTGAATAATATTCCATTATATATTATATATAAAAAGAAGCAAATATGTATACACACACACATAAGTATACACACACACACAACATTTTCTTTATCCATTAATCCTTCAGTAGACATTTACATTGCTTTCACATTTTCCCTATTGTGAATTGTGCTGCAATGAGTATTGGGATGCTAATATCTCTTTGAAATTCTTGTCTCAGTTGTTGTGGATAAATAACCAGAAGTGGGATTGTTGATTTATGTGACAGTATTATTTTAAATTTTTTGAGAAACCTCTGTAACTGTTTTCCATAACAATGGCACCAATTTTCACTCCCATCAACAGTGTACAAAAGTTTCAATTTCTCCAAATGCTCACCAAGACTTGTTTTTTTTGGTTAATTTTTATAATAGCCATTCTAACAGACGTGAGGTGATATCACAGTATGGTTTTCATTAGCATTTCCCTGATGATTAGTGACATTTGGCATATCCTTTTCGGCCATTTGTATGTATTTGGAGAAATAATTATTAAAATTTTTAGCATATTTTTAAATCAGATTTTTTGGTATTTAATTACTTATATATGTTGGAAACTAATCTCTTATCAGATATATGGTTTGCAAATATTTTTCCCATTCTTTAGGTTGCATTTTTACTCCTTTGATTTTTTCCTCTGGGTGAAGAAACTTTTTGGTTTAATGTGGTCCCACTTACTTATTTTTGCTTTTGTTGCCTGTATTTTTGTTGTCATACGTGGAAAATTGTTGCTTAGATCAATGTCATAAAGCATTTCCTGAATATTTTCTACAAGGAATTTTATATGTTCAGATTTTCATTTAAGTTTTCAATCCATTTTGAGTTGATTTTTGTGTATGGTCTAAGTTATTAGTTCAAATTTATTCTTTTACATGTGAAATTTCTGTTTTCCCAACATGACTTATTAAAGATACTATCCTTTCCCCATCATGTATTGTTAGTATCCTTGTCAAAGATTGACTGACTGTATATGTGTGGATTTACTTCTTGACTGTCTATTCTGACCTATTGATCTATTTGTCTTTTCGCCACTGCCATACTGTTTTAATTACTATTGCTTTGTGATATATTACAAACTTTCAGGAATTGTTATGCCTCCATATTTATTCTTTCTCAAGATTGTTTTGGCTATTTAGGGTCTTCTGTGATTCCATGTGAATTTTAGAATTTATATACATATTTCTGTAAATAATGCCATTGAGATTTTTAAATAGGAATCATATTGAATCTGTATATTGCTTTGGGTAGTATAGACATTTTAATAATATTAATTCTCCCAATTAATGAACATAGAATATCTTTACTTTTTTTGTGTCCTTAATTTCTTTCATTAATGTTTTGTAGTTTTCAGGGCACTGGCCTTAACTTAGTCCTTAGTTAAGTTTATTCCTAAGATTTTTTTACTTTTTAATACTATAGTAAATGGGATTATTTTCCTTTTCAGAGAGTATATTTTTAGTGTATAAAAATATGACTAATTTTTGTAAGGTGAATTTGTATCTTACCACTTAACTGAATTGCTTATTAGTTTTACTAGTTGTTTTTTGGTGTATATGTATGAAGATTTTAGGGTTTCTACATATTAGATTGTATCATCTGCAAACCGAGATACTTCTTTTTACTTTCCAATTTAGATGCTTTTAATTTTTTTCTACTGCCTAATTGTTTTGTGTAGATCTTCTAGTATTATGTTAAATAGTCATGCTGAAAGTAAACATTTTTGCCTTGTTCCTGTTCTTAGAGAAAAAGTTTTGATAGTGTCACCATTAAGTACGATGTTGGCCGTGGACTTGTCATGTATGGCTTGTATTATGTTCAGGTACACTTCTTCTATACCTAGTTTATTGAGAGTTATAATCACAAAAGAGTCTTATCACAAATTTTATATCTTTTTTTCTACATTTATTTAGATAACTGTGTCTTCATTCTTTTAATATGATATATTACATTAATTGATTTTCATATGTTGAACTTATCTTACATCCCAAGGATAAATTGATCATAGTGTATGATTTTGTTGATATGATGTTAAATTTTTTTTGAGATTTTATTGAGGATTTTTGTGTCTATATTTTTCAGGGCTATTGCCCTATGGTTGTATTTTCATATGGTATCTTTGAGTTTGGTATCAAGGTAATTCTGGCCTTATAAAATGTGTTTGGAGTTATACTCTCCTTTTCAATTCTTATGGATGACATTGAAAATTGGCATTAATTATTCTGTAAATTTTTGGTGGAATTCATCTATGGAGCATTCTGGTCCTGGATTTTTCTATCAGAGGCTTTTTATTATTGAGTCAATTTCCTTACTAGTTATTATTATGTTCAGATTTTTTTCTTCATGATTGAGTCTCAGCAGAATTCATGTTTCTAGAAATCTATTTATTTCTCCTGTTATCCAGTTTGTTGGTTTATAGTTGTTCATAGTAATCTCTTATGATTTTTAATGTTTCTATGGCAGCAGTGATAATGTCTACTCTTTCATTTTTAATTTTATTTGAATCTTCCCTTTTTTCCTTAGATAATCTAGCTAATTATTTCCCAAAATTGTGGATCTTTTAAAAAAAACCAACTCTTAGTTTTGTCGATTTCTCTGTTTTTCTATTCTATATTTTATTTATTTCTGCTCTGATCTTTGTTATTTCCTTTCTTCACTTAACTTTGAACTTAGTTTATTCTTTTTGTTTTAGTTCCTTGAGGTTTAAAGATAGGATTCTTACTTATTTGTTCTTTTTTATATAAGTGTTTATCATGAAAAACTTCCCTCTTAATACTGCCCTTGCTGCATTTCATTAGTTTGGTATGTTGTGTTTTCATTTTCATTTGTTTCAAGATATTTTCTGATTTCTGTTTTGATTTCTCCTTTGATCTACTGGATGTTCAAAAGTTTTTATTTAATTTCCTCATATTTGTAAACTTTGAAGTTTTCCTTGTGATATTTGTTTTTTATTTCATTCTATTGTGTTTCAAAAAGATACTTAGTATAATTTAAATCATCTTAAATTTACTATTTGTTGTGACCTACCATGTAATCTATCCTGGAAGTTATTTCATGTGTACTTGAAAAGAACATATATTCTACTGCTATTGAGTGCAATATTTTGTTTACCTGTTAAGTCAGTTTTTCTTTCGTGTTAGCCAAGACTGCTGTTTCTTGTTGATTTTCTGTCTTTCCTCTGTCAATTACTGAGAGTGAGATTTTGAAGTCACTTCTTATTGTATTCCTATTTCTCCCTTCAGTTTTATCAGTGTTTTCTTTATAAATTTAGGTACTCTAATGTTAGGTCCACATATATTTGTAATTATACTGTCTTCCTGAATTTAGTTTTTCATTATTATAGAATGTCCTTTATATCTTGTCACAGTTTTAGACTTAAAGCCTATCTGGTCTGATATAAGTACAGTCATCCTTCTTTTCTTTTGGTTACCATTTGCATATGTATCCTTTCTATCACTTAGTTTTTAGTCTGTATGTTGTATTAAATCTAAAGTTCAATTAATTCAGCAACTTCATGTTTTTTTATTAGGGAGTTAAATCAGTTTAAAGTAATTATCGATATGGTAGGATTTACTATTATTATTTTGTTAATTGTTTACTTTGTCTTGTAGCTCATTTGTTCCTTTTTTCCTCTTTTGTTGATTTTTTAGTATTGATATGCTTTGAACGTTATATCTGTATTTGTCTATATATTTACTTTTATCAATGGGTTTTAAACTTTCTTCAGCTATCGTTTGCTCTTTAGTATACTTTCTTTTCAACTTGAAGAACTACTTTTAATATTTGCAGGGTATAGTATTCTTGATAGACAGGGTTTTTCTTTTTTCTTTGAGTGCTTTGAATATATCATCTTGCTTCCTTATGGCCTACATGGTTTCTGCAGAAAAGTCCACTGAGAGTATTATGAGAATGCTCTGTTATGTGACAAGTTGCCTTTCACTAGTTGCTTTCAAAATTCTCTTTGCCTTTCACTTTTGACAATTTGATTTCATGTTTCTCATTTTGAACTTGTTTGGATTCCTTATTTGGGGTCTTTCAGGCTTGCTAGATTTAAATGTCTATTCTATTCTCCCAGATTTGGTACATTTTCAGACATTATTTATTAGAATATGCCTTCTGGTTCTTTCTCTTTATTTTATATTTTTGGAACAGGCATAATGCATACATTGATCCACTTGATCATGTCCCATAAGTACTTTAGGCTTTCTTCATTTCTTCTTACTTCTGCTTCTCTAAATGAATAATGTTCAGTGACCTGTCATCAAGTTTGCTGATTCTTTCTTTTGCTTTCTTAATATAGCCTGTTGTAGAATCCTTCTAGTTAAATTTTCAGTTATTGTATTCTTCAGCTCCATGTTCTCTTTGTTTAGCACTTTCAAAAAATTTTCCATCTCTTTTTTAAAATCCTCACTTTGTTTACTCATTGATCTACTGAACTCAATGAGCATCTTTTGATGGTTAGTTTGAATTCTTTGTCAGGTACATTATTTATCTCCATTTCATTCAGGTCAGTTTTTAGATATTTATCTTGTTTCTTTATTTGGAAAATATTTTCCTTTTTTTTCATTTTTTTGAACTTTCTGTGTTGCTGTTTGTGCATTAGACAAAATATCATCTCTCCTATGCTTTACAGATTGTGCTTATATTGGTAAAGACTTCACCAGTCACCCTGGCTAGACATTCTGAAGGTTTCTCAAACTTTTGCCAGTGCAACCAACTTTCTTTGTTTTTAGTGGCCCACAGGCATCTAGAGTTGTCCTGAGTCTCAACAGTGTTCAGAGACAGGCAAGACTGAAATCAGTTTCTCGGGCAGCCTCCAGAAAAGTTGGGTTGTTAGATTTGTGGTGAATCTTATTTTCTTCCCAGGTAGAAACTGATATCTGGGGTTTTTCATTTGTCTGATGTATGCTGAATCTGGGGGAGTGGCCATGGTGACTGCCAGCCCCAAACCACCATCTCTGTTCTCATTGGCCCTGAGTTCCTGGAGTATGCAGTGTGTGTGTACTGTCAGTCCTAGATAGAAACCAGTTCTCTGGGTAGCCCCTGGAATATTTGGGGTGTTGAACTTTCTTCGTACCTCTTTCCTTCCCCAAAAAGCAGTTGAGAGGTGACAGGATTTGTCCCTGTTTTATGGAACTGTGCTAAGGGTAGAGAATATGGCAAGAAAGTAACATGAATTTTCCTACCAGCTTCAATGTGGCTGGTTTCACACTCATCCAGGGTACAGAAGCCTCTTAACTAGCTTCTAGATTTCTTAAAAAAGAAATATGTCCATGTATGATGGTGCAATTTGTATGTAGAGGGAAGGAGGGTCCAGGGATTCCTATTCTGCCCTGCTGCTGATGGCATTCCTATTTGCACACATTTTTAACAACTTGAATAATATTTTTAAAATAAAAGAACATTCTTTAAACAGTTACATTCCTATTTTAAAACAATAAACAATTTGGTGTTTATTGAATTTTAAGTTTTATTTAAAATTTATCAAAAATACATTTAGATTAAAATTAAAATTGCACTACAATGCTTATAGGAGGAAATTATATTCTCTGCTCTGCCTCTTATTTCCTAAAGTTAACTACTTTTAATTAGTTCAGCTGTTTCTTATAATACTTTTTTTTACTTCAGTACTTATTTATTGCATTTACTTCCCTGAATTGTTAATTTACTTGTTGGCCTTCCTGGAATTAAAGCCACCTTGCTCTAACATTTGTTTAGCTTCCTATATGTATATAATCAGTTCACCCTCAAACACTGATGGAATACGAAGCACTTCACTTAACAATCAAATGGATGAGATAATTTATTTGATGAGATTTTTTTTCTTGGATATAAGTGGTGTGCTGAAGCTGGGTTTAACTAGATATTGGGAGCTGATTGTGTGTATTTCTTCCAAAATCAGCAGTTCTATGATATGTTTTCTTCCCTGCTAGAAATATTTACAGCATAGATATTAGAAAATGTTCCAAAATGGGTCATTCATTTTAGGGGTTTTTCCCCCTGGATTGTAAGTTAATAAGCATTCACCAGCCCACCACTAAATATAACTTCCTTGGAATTCACCATCTTCCTGGTCAAGTATGACTTATTGCACCTGCTACAGAAATGTCATCTTAACATTATTGTCACCCTCATTCCAGCAAATAGTTTTACCTCTCACTTCTGTGATTGACCTTCTGTTTTCTGACCTCATATCTTCCTGTTTTTCTTAGTTTAATCTCTTATTTTGCTCAAAATTATCTTACAGTTGTTTCACAAGAAAGCATACAAAATAGATAAATGTTATAAAAGCATGCATTTCACAAAATTTCATTTTTTACCTCTAAAATGACTTTTTTTCAAATAGAAGACTATTCCAGAAATTATTTTTCAGCAAACGTATGAGGAAACTTCACTATCTCAGTTGTTTCAGTTGTAAGAAAGATAATTGTTACCTTATTTTCCTGGATGATTTATTCTCTTTTTCATTATATGTTTAGCAAATTTAGTTGGTTTTCAACATAGCACCTTTTTTCTCTTATGTTTACTTTATATAATAAAAATGTTTCATTACATATTCCCATTCTGCGTATACTTTCAATAACACTTGACATTCACTAAATAATTTGATGCTAAACTCTAAGATATAGTGATTTTTTTCACAGATCTGCTCTCAAGTTCCTTTAAATTAAGTGTCATATCCAGTGTTTCTTCATGAAATAAAATATTGTGTCTACCATTATATTTTTGACATTAAGTATTTAATATTACTTGGAAAATTAAAATTTCAAACAGTAATCTATGTAAAGAGTGGTGATGGTAATAGTAATTGGCAGAGATTTTGAATTTTAACCCATTTAATCATTTTGTACCCTATACATCTTCATCAGAAATGTACTTAATAAAGATAATTGTTCATTATCATATTCCTTCTCTGACTTATGTGTTATTACCTAGTAAAAAGTAGGAGTGTTAATTTTCTAAATAACAACAGGAAAGCTAAGTGCCTCATAATGAGTTACAGAAATATTTTTTTCTTCAAGTGAATACCTGAGGAAAAAAATACCTATAGTTAATATTTTCTAGTTTCTGAACTGTAGGACTTACTCCCACTGCCAACCTCAACCCAGGACCTGTCCCCTATTTAGCCATCAGAAAAACATTAGCCAAGCAGATAATCATCCCAGTTAAATATGATTATTTTTCACTAAGGAAATGAATTGTCTCAATAAAAACCTTCTTTTAAAAGTGGCCTTTGGGGCATAAGAATGATACAGTGGACTTTGGGGACTCGGGGGAAAGGGTAGGAGGAGGTTGAGGAATAAAAGACTACACAATGTATACAGTGTACACTGCTCGAGTGATGGGTGCACCAAAATGTCAGAAACCACCACTAAAGAACTTATTCATGTAACCAAACACCACCTGTTCTCCAAAAAGCTATTGAAATTTTGAAAAAGTGTCTTTTGGGAATTTCCAAATGTAATTTCACGTTATGCTTGATCTTCTTTTTTAGAATGCATTGTGTTCTGTCAAAATTTAGATATTGAAGCCCTTTCTAATGCGGCTGTTTTTTGAAATGGGGCCTCTAAAGAAGTAATTAATGTTCAATGACATCACAGTGGTGGACCCTTGATCCAATAGGATTAGTGTTATTATAAAGACACAAGAGCAGTCTCTCTCTCTCACACTGTACATGTACCAAGAAAAGGCCATTTGAGGACATAGTTAGAAGGTGGCTGCCTGCCTGCATGCCAGGAAGAGAGCTCTCGCTGGAAATCTTGATCTTGGACTTGTGGCTTTCAGAACTGTCAGGAAATAAATTTCTGTTGTTGAAGCCTCTCAGTCTATGTTTTTTGTTATGGCAGCCCAAGCTGACTAATGCAGTCTCTAACTGTGCATCTGTCATTGAGAATCTCTGTTACATGGAAGAATTTCCAACTGCTTTTTAAGGCATCATTCTTAAATGCAAATAGTAAATAAAGATTCCACAGACATGTGAGAAGATCTGCTGAATGGAACTGAAGAAAGCTATGAAAGTGATTTTAAAGAAAGAGAGCAATATAGGGGAGACAACAAAAACAATATTAAAATTAACAATAATTATTATTTTGAGAGTGATTTAAAAAAGAGAAGGTACAACCCATGCTACAGAAAAGGAACATCTTTGGAAATTAAAAATGTAATAAAATTGATTTTAAAATAGAAAGATTAAAAAATAAAATTTAGTGAATACCCAAAAAGGAAAGTAACAGTTAAAAAGTAGAAAGTATAAAAATGTTTTAAAATGATCATCTAACAAAATTGTAAAAGAAGGAGTAGGAGGAAAAAGATGAAGAGTAGAACCTAACACCATGTATTTTGGGATTTATACCTCATGTATAAGCACAAATCATCAATGGGTAGAGTAAAAAAAGTCAAGAATATTGATAATACCCCAAGTTGATATCTATAGAGAAGATTAAAATAATTGCAAAGGTATATGGTTATACCTTATTATTGTATGCAAATTCATGGGTCTTGTTTGTTTGCTTTCTACTGAGAACATCAATTTCCTGACAAATATTATTCTGTTCTTAGCAGTTAGATATTCTGCCTTGATCAACATTGTGAGGTGAATACTATTTATCAAAAATTGGTTTCCTGATGTGATACTGCAAGATGAAATTTTCTTTCATTTTGAAGTGAATTTAATTGATTTTTATCAACTGAAGGCAATAATACCAAAGCAATAATAGAAGAGAGATTGAAACTCAATTTAGCATATCTTAGGGACAGTAAATTTAGGTTAACTTAAATACTAGAAACTTCAGGCAATAGAACAAACAAAGTAAGTAGATTCAAAGTAAATAAAAAGCTAAATTAGAAAACCCAATTTCAAAGACTCAGATATAATTTAAAATAAGACTGGACATGGTGGCTCATGCCTATAATCTCAGCACTTTGGGAAGCTGAGGTGGGTGGATCGCTTGAGTCCAGGAGTTCGAGACCAGCCTGGGCAACATGGCAAAACCCTGTCTCTACAAAGAAAACATAGAAAAATTATTAATAGCTAGGCGTGGCGATGTGCACCTGTAGTCTCAGCCAACCGGGAGGCTAAGATGGGAGGATTGCTTGAGCCTGGGAGGCCAAGATCACGCCACTGCACTCCAGACTGAGTGATAGAGTGAAATCTCATCTCAAATAATAATTATTATTATTATTACTATTAAATAAAAAAGTTGCACAGAAAAGGAAAACTGCTTTATACCAAAAAAGGATATTTCTGACCTAATATTTCTTTAATTACCTTTTTGGAAAGACCTTTTTTTTCATAAAACATATGACTCAAAGACAGATAATTTTTGAATATTGTTTTCAACACTATACACACCTGAACAATTTTTCAAAATATGCATACCTCAAAAAACTTGCTCTTTTACTTTGTTTTGTCTAACATCTTTTATTCTCAAATTAAAGATGATGATTATCTCTCCTTTCTTCAAACCTTAATTGATTTTCCCCTTTGAAAAAAAAATCTTTTACTGTGCATTTTTTACCTTCACCTATATGCTAAAATGTTTCATATTTGTTACTGTATGGCATACCGTAGGCAGTTTTAACACAATGGTATTTCTGTAATCTAAGCATATCTGAATATAGAAAAGATAGTGTGTTGTGCTTTGATGTTATAATAGCCATGTCACTAGGCGAGGGGAATTTTTCAACATTATTATTGTCTTATGAAACCACCATGGTATATACAGTCCACTCTTGACTGAAGTGTTATGTGGTGCATGACTATACTTAAACATGTACCTTCCAAATTTCTTTTGCCTAGTGTGGTATACTCTTTCTTCATATAGAAATCTTACCAATTATTCAAGAGCATATATAATTCTTATTTTCCATTAAGACTTTACTGCTATTTAATCCTACATTGATCTCCACGTTTACTGAAATTGGTAGCTCATTGAATATATTTGTCCTATGATCCTTGTTATGTACCTAACTATAGGACTTTTGTCTTATAATGTGTTTTTATATTTTTCCTTATATTTAAGTATGTTATTACCTCACCAAAGTGGGACTGTGCCATCTATTTTGTTTACATACCCAAGAGCATTCTAAATTCTATGTTCAGTATGTATGTGATGAATGATGGAAGGAAGGCAGGGAAGAAAGGAAGGAATGGATAAGACCTTCGTGAGACTTAAAAAACAACTAGTTGATATTCTGCCACTTATTGAAAGTCATTTAACAATGATTTTATGCAATATAGTAAAGTTGATGCAATAACAACAACTCAAGTACTTTTCCCAAAAAATAAAAAGTAATATTGGAAAGCATTGGTGGTCACTGGGTCTGATAAATCACTGACACTTTTTCTTGGTAAATTATTTTTTGTGTTTGTAGAACATGGCATATAAAAATGTTTTAAAAGGAAATAACTCATCTCAGATCCTTGCAATGCTATTATATCCGTCTACAGTTTTGAATATATCAAAATGTATTGTCAAATACTTTATAGTACTCATAGCTCTTGTCAAATAAATTGATTGTTTTGGTCTCTTCAAATAGTCCCCACCATGGTTAATCAGGAACAATTTGAAAACAGTATCCTCAGTTAGAATAAAGTTATTGTTTATGCCATTATTTTTCAAATGATAAATTTTATTTTGTCATTTAAAAATGACCTGATGAAAATAGCTTTGTAGTAAAGACTTTCTTTGACATAGACTGATGTTTTTTTGTCTTATATTGAATCAGTCTATTCATTTGAGTCTATGTTCCTTTTAATTCTTGAAATTTAGAAAAATGTAGTTCACTATATCAGTCATTCCTGATATATTACATCTGTTACCAGGTAGTTCTTCCAGCATGAGCATAGTCCCAGATTACTTTTGCTGGTTCACTACCCAAAGAGATAATAAAATCTTTGTATATGGATTCAATAAAATGTACACATTCCTAGTCATAGATATTTATGATATTTGCTATTACATCATGTGACAAAAATAAGCAGATATATTTATAACCAAGTTCTGTGCAATTTCAATTTGACTACTAATACGTACTCCAATAATGTAATGTTTTCTTATTAACTATTATTTTATTCAGTCTGTGTCTAGCATATTATGTGTGCTATTTTGGATGCTCAAGATAGATTTAAATCAATATAGAATTTATCTTAAATAAATTCTTAGGACAATGGAAACATAGACATGCAATTTTTTACTAAGATACTACATGTAATTCTCATTAAAATAGGAGAACTTAAGAACAAATTTATTTACTGATGTCAGGGAAATGTACCAAAAAGTGGTGACACTTGAATCATGAAAGAACAGTTTATTATTGAATCAGCTCTTAGCAAGGACATTCTAAGATAGAATAGCATGTGTAGAAATAGGAATATGAGATATTTCTGGTATGTGTGATATGACTGAAGTACAGGTGAATGGTATGGGAAGAGAAGGATAAGAAGGCAAGACATTAGATTAACATGGCTTGGGATCGTAAGCATCTTATGCATCAAGGTTCAATTTTGTACTTGTTTTTTCTTATTCTCTCTTAGTGGGGGGTGTACAATAACATTTGTGTTGTACAAAAATAATCATAATAATTGTAGAGAGATTAGATTAGTTGTGATAGGAATTAAAGTCATGAAGAGTTAGGAGATGTTCTATAGTTTGAATGAGAAATAATGAGGGCATGTCCCAGTCTCAGGTTTTGATTCTCTTCTCTATCTATCTTTTCTGTTTACACTCAGAACATGACCTCATCTGATCTTAAAGAATGATATCACGTGTATCCAGACATTTATGCTGAACTTCAGACTCCTATATGTAATTGCCTCATCTGTGCTTCCTCATGGTTATATAATAGCTATCTCATACCACGTCAAAAACTGAACTCTGCGTTTTCTCCCCATACTCTAGCTAAAATACCTCCTCCAGATGCAGTTTTCTGTCTCAGCTGATCCTAAATCCCTCATTGTTTCTCAGAAAAACATTAATTTGGAATTGTCCTATAATATTTCTTACATTTACATATACTTTAATTCTCTAATCAAAGTATACCCAGAATCTGATGACATCTCACATGCCACTGCTACCAGCGTCTTCTGAGCAGCAACATCTCATTTTGATTACTTGAAGACCCCCTTTGTTGTCTCTCTGCCTCCATCCTTGCCCCTCTACATTGTATTCTCAACACAGTAGCCAGAATGATTCATTTAAAATGTTAATTATACATCCTCAAAATCATTCTAAGACCTTTTCTTTCACTTAGAATAAAATTGTAAGTTTTGCAATGGCCTCCTAGGTCCTACATAATTAGCCCCCAAACTGTGAATTATTCTTGCTCATTCTGTTTCAAACACACTGACCTCCATGTTATTTCTTAAATGCATCAGGGATTCTTGGTCTTAGCGCTTTTGATCAGTTCTTTCTAATGCCTGGAAAGTTTTTTTCATTAGATATGTTCATTAACTTTCTCTTATCCTGTAAGTCTTTTTTCAGGAGTCAATCATCTCAAGGGAGCCTCCCCCTGATCACTAAGAATTGTAACTCCTTCGCCAATCACTCTTTTTGCCAGTTTGTGTTTTTCCCACAACAGAAACCATCTCTTCCATGCAGCATACATTATCTATTACTATGTCTATTATTCATTGTCTTTCTAACTGCTAGAATATAAATTCCAGGAGTCCAAGGATTTTTGTTTGCATAGTTCGCTAATACATCCGTAATACTTAGAACAATATCAGTTGCATAATAGGTCTTCAGTGAGCACTATTTAAATAAATGAATAAATGGCTTGCATTAATGTGATGACAACTATGACACAGAGAAAGAAATAGAAACAATAGCTGTTTATCATGCCAATTTAGACCAGGGGGAAAATTATGGGTTTGGAATTTATAATATTAAGTTGTAGCCTCCTTCTTTCATTTATTAACCATGTGATTCCAGGTGACAATGGAAAGAAAATTGTGAAGCAACTCAAAATAATTGTTAGAAGGATAGGAGAAGAACTAGGGATAATGATATCTCAGAAGCAAAGGGAAACTTTTTAAAAAACATTCCCATAACCAATATTGAGATATGTTATAAATAAGTCCAGTAACAGTTAATTTTATTTGAAAACTAGGGTATCATTGATGATATATGTTCAGTGGAGTGGTAGAGATAAAAAGTCATTTTATAGGAGAATTTCCTAATGAATTGCTGATAAAATTTTGAATTTGGTGAATATATGGGTAAGATTTTCTTTTTAAGTCCTTCATCTTATAATTTTTAATTTTCATTTGCAACTATGCCTTAACATTTATTTTTGTTAGATTTAGGCCCAATGACTGCATTTCTTTCATGTCAAGATTATGCTGATTTATGCAAAAGTTATTTGCAATTTTGTGCATTTGTAATACAGCAAAATAATTTGCAGAACTAGATACAATTCTAAATTTATAAAAAAAGTATCTCCTTAATTTTGAGTGTAACAACTGGTCTTTAGTTTCATGAAATAGTTTCCAATGTACAATATTGTATAAAAAGAATTGTTGCTGTTTTTCTTATAATATGATTTCCCCAAATTGAAGACGAGGCAATTGATAAAACTCAGAGTTTTACAAGTCTAGTCTGCCCTGAATAAATAAGGTTTTCTTTTAAAATGAGGTTATCTCAGCTCCTTATTTTATACTTAGTTTTTTCCTCCTTCTATAATTTAATAGTAAGTTTCTCATAAACATAGAATAATTTAATAATGATTTAGCAGACAATGTGAAGGACACATAAAAATAATTTAGCTAGTAAGCACATCTATAATAATCTAAGCATATTTTAATATTTTAAAAATGAATTTGTTTAAACATATTAAAAGCAAAAAGCAAACCAGAAAATATTTTCTCAAAATCACATAGACTTTATACTTTTTATAGTGAATATTGACTAAACTAGTTTATCATTCATTAGTTTCTGGACTTCTCTGTCTTAAATTGAACTAAATATCTATAGTTCTCTACTTATAAATAATATGTATGATTGTGTTTAGGTTTTACATGTATTTTTATTATTCTCGGGGAGTGATAATAAGTAATAATAATAACAGATAAAAAAGCAGACAACAGAATGGATTCTACAAATAACTACATAACAAGAGAACTTTAAAAACAACCTTATGACCAAATTTTAAAATTTAACATAATTTCAAAGGCCGTTGTGCTTCCAGTACAAGTGATACTAGTAATAATAGTGATTACTAAGAAATTACATCCATATATTATACATCTAGGTATAGTACTGATGCTAGATCTGAACAAGTAAGAAGATGCACATAAATATTTACTTTTAGAAAGGTAGTTTTTATTCATCTCCTCTCTTTCTAAATTAATGAACATTTTTCAACTTTTCTCTCAATTCATGGACTGTGAAAGGAACATACATAAGGAAAATATGGGATATTTATTGTGATTATACAACTATGTGACATAATAAATGAATTAAAACTTCAAATGTTCTAAAATCTATTTTATCACAAATATGTAGGTTACTATTTATCTAGTATATATTTTGGGAGGTGGATGGAAAATCATCTCTTAACTATAAGTTTAAAGGTATAAAACAGAAAAGATAAATAATATTGAAATATTAGGTTACTTTTTTTTTAATTTGATGTATTAAAATACCATAAATAATATTAAAATGTAAATGGCTAACTGGAAGAACATACATGTGATGTATATGAAGAAGAATATTCTTTATCAATAAAAATGCCTTCCAAAACAATGAAATTAATGAACAACTCAAAGGATAACAGTGAAAAGAGAAAGAAATAATTTATAAAATGATATAAAATTGCCATAACATAATAAATATTGCACCTCAGATACAATTAAATAGATAATATAACTTCATTGACATTTATCATATTGGCAAATATTTTTATTTTTTCAATAATGATTTACACGGTATTTCTGAGATACAGAAAAAGCAATGTCACTTCTGCAGGACAATTTAAGAATATATTTACAATATGTCAAAATGTACAAAGGCATGCCTTTTGACAAAATAGCTTACATCTATAAATTTATTTTAAACAGGAAATCTTAAAAGCCTACATAGATAATTCCTGTGATAATTTATTGAAAATCAGATATTCTTCTCAAGAAATTAGAAACAGTTCATCAAAATTTACATAATTAGAAGAAAATAAAGTAGAAAATTACATAGTGAATAAACAATATAAAATAGAGAACTAATCAATTATTAATTCTTTCAAAAACCAAGTGAAATTGATATATCCATCATGGAATTGAGCTAGGAAAGAATAGAAAAGGAGTACAAATTTTCTATATCTGAGATAAAATAGCAGACAACAGAGAGGCTTCTACATATAACTAAATAACAAGGGAGTTTTAAGAACAACTTTATGAAAAAATTTTAAAAATTTATCATATTTTCAGAGGCCACTGTGCTTCTAGGTTAGGCCATTTTTAACTGCTCCCTAATAAAAGGAGTTTTAGCAAACCCATCATGCCTTCTTTGATATTCAATTTGTCCACTCACTGCCATCATCTTAAACTCAAATTCGTCATTTTCAACAACAACCTTTCCATCATTTCAGTGTCAAACATCTCAAACTCTCACCATTACCACCAATCATTTTAGCTCCTTGGCTGTAGTATTCTAATAGCAAAAGATTTGAAAGATTGCTAAAGATTAAAATAATACTTCAATCTCACCAGCACCTTCAATCCGCTGATCTGGCAGCGGATCATTGTTCATTACTCCCTGTATGTTCTCACTTTTCTATTTACCCATCTTAAATTTCTAGGAAAACCATTAGCTCTCCCTTGAAGTTACCATCATCTTTCTTGACTTTCTATAGTTTTTATTTCCTTGAATCCATCATATCCGTGGTTCGAAGGAACTCTTCACCTACTTGCAAGACAGTTCTCCAAGTGGCTTTGGCCCATCCAGTTCTCCCTTGCTTCCTGGCTTGTGGTTCTCAAAAATAACTATAGACTGTGTTGGGAGTACAACATCCCGAGATAAGAGGAACTGGCCAGAACAGCCTAGGTTGTGTTCCAGTCCCTTCCCCCACCCCTTCCAGAAACACAATGTCCTTCAACCCTGTAGTTCAGAGAATTGCATAACCCAGGGCAGGCTGCTTTCTGGAATCTCTCTGCTGTGTGACAAGTGGGGCATGCTCAGTTGAAACTCCATCTGTGCAGAGGATTTTCCAGATCTTTGGGAGACAAGTTTTCCCTGAATCTTAGGCTTCTGTTGTCTCATGCTGCCTACATGTAAGTGATACTATAAATCAGTTTCATGTAATTTGTTGTATATGACTGCATTTTGTCTGAATGTTCAAAGACATGTTTTGGTAACCAGTGCACAGTGAACATGCTTCACACTACTTCTTCTCAGTACCTAGTAGAGGGAGGTGGCTAGATAAAGCTCAAAGCAACAGTAAAAATGTCACTTTAATATTTATTTAAAATAAATATTATATTACTAAAATCTAAATAACTAAAATTTCCCAGAAATTTTACTGTATTTCTCTATGCTCTTAGTACTCTGCTGTTATCAATGACCAGTTCATAACTTCCTATCTTTATTCTAACTTTCCTCGTCTCCTCTCCATCTTCCCTCTGGGCTGATGATCTCTCTTCTTACCTTATGGGAAAGCCAAACACAAGGAATACAGCTTTCTCCATCATATTTTCCACCCACTGTGCCAATATAGTATATCTTCAATGTTTTGTTGTGTATGAGTCATCTCTTCTCCTAGCTAAAGCCAGATCCTCCATTTATAGGTCTCAACTTTCTCACCTACTCAGTAGGGCATGACCTCAGGAGGGTACTGTTGTTTTTTGCATCATCCATATATGTTCTCCCCAAGATTTTCCCCAATAACAAAAAGTCACTTTACCCATCTAGAAAAACAAAAACAAATCCCCAAAAAATTCAAGCTTATAAAAATGCTTATTTTTTCTTTTGTAAACCCACTTATACCACTAACAGCTCCATTTGTCTCCTTGAGTAAATCTCCTAAAGTCTTCATCTATATTCACTGCCTCTATTTTCACTCCTGTCATTTCCTGTTGAAGCCATTCCACTCAGGCATTCACTCCACCATGATGCCAGAACTGTTTTTGTTCTGAAATCAATGATCTTCACAACAGCAAATCCAATGATTTTGGATCTTTTCCCTTTAATGGATTTATTAACAATATTTAAAAGTAGGGATGACTCTTTCACATCGAAGACGTTTTCTTCCTCTGGCTTCTAATACACCACACTCTCTTGCTTTATCTTCTATCATTGAGGCTATTCCTTCTGTATTAATCAGCTTTCATGCTGCTGATAAAGACATACCCAAGATTGGGAAGAAAAAGAGTTTTAATTGGACTTACAGTTCCACTTGGCTGGGAGGCCACAGAATCATGGTGGGAGGTGAAAGGCACTTCTTACATGGTGGCGGCAAGAGAAAAATGAGGAAGAAGCAAAAGTGGAAACCCCTCATAAACCCATCAGATCTTGTGAGACTTATTCACTGTCACAAGAATAGCACAGGAAAGACCAACCCCCATGATTCAATTACCTCCTCCTGGATCTCTCCCACAACACATGGGAATTCTGGGGGATACAATTCAAGTTGAGATTTGGATGAGGACACAGCCAAACCATATCAGCTTCTTATTTGGCTATGTTGGTTCTTCCTCATCTCTCTGATTGTTAAGCATTCAGAGTATCCAGGACTCAGCTCTTGCATCTTTTATATTTTTCTCCATGAACAAATTCAGTAGGTGATCTTATCTAACGTCATGGCTTAAAATATTCTTCCACACACCAGTAACTTTAAATTGTAACTCCCCACTTAATCTAGATTTACATATCCAGTTTTCTGTTAGACATCCCATTTTGTATGGCTAATAATTGTGTCAAGTTTTATATGTTTCATTTGATTTGATATTCACTGCAATGCCATCTACCTTCACAATATTCCCATTTCAATAAATTGCAACTTTATTTTTCCAATTGTACAGGCATAAAATTCAGAGTTATCAGTGATTTCTTTTTCATATTGTGTCCTTTCCACATCACATTGCAATTGACTTAAAAATATATGCAGAATTTAATATTTCTCTTTACCTCTACTTTTATTATTCCTATTCAAACAATCAATATCTCTGTTCTCTCTGCTTCCAATCCTGCCCTCTTTAGTCTATTTTTAACAAAGCAGCCAGGGTGGTCCCGGTAAAAACCTAAATCAGACCATATAAGCCCACTGTTCCATGCCCTACCAAGGATTCTTGACTCATTAAAACAAAGCAAAACAAAAAGTCTTTAAACAGCTAATAAAGCATTATACAAACATTACTTGTTCTTCTGCCCAACATTACCTAAAGAGCCTAATTTTCTACCATTCTATCCCTCATTGATTCTGCCTCCTTGTTAATCCTCCAACATGCCAAGAAATCCTACTGTCTAGGAATGTCTTCTTCCTAAAGCCATTGCCCCCTAAATAGTCACACTGCTTGCTGCCTCACTTCTTCAGATCTTACCCAAACAGTTCTTTCACAGAGGCCTTTCTTGGCCATTCATATCCTATCTACAGTTTCAAAACAGCTGGTCTCACCTACATTTCCTATCCTACTTCTCTACTTAACTTTTTAAATAGATAATACCCCTATTTATGAATGGTAATTACTAAGATACTTGTTTTTTCTGTTTATTGCTTTCTTTCCTAACTAGAATGTAGTAAGGACAAGGACAGAATGAGGCCAGGGATGTTTGCTGTATCCCAAGCCAAGCACATAGTCAAGTGTATAATAAATACTTGTTGAATGAATTGCTAAATCAATCTGCATATCTCTGTAAAAAATAATGGAAGATGGTTAGCTCAGATAAATACTCACTATTATAGATTGTAGAGGTATTGCATGATTCCGAAGCTAAACTTGGATCTTTTTTTCCAGGGAAAAGAAAAGGAACAGGACTGGGTACATTTAAATAGCTAACAGTATCTTCCAGGCACATATTGATTAAAATACTTAAAGAGTTATTTTGCATTATCCACTTTTAAAATTAACCATATAGAAATCATGGTGATCACAGTAATTAGAAGTAAATTAATATGTTTAGAGCATAATTTATAGCTCCCATAAATGAAAGTCTGAGATTTGTGCATTTTATTAAAATCTCTAATTAGCATTTTAAAGCATACTAGACAACATTTTAAACAAGTATATATTTTAAGAAGACAGTAATAAACAACTTTATATAAATAGTGGCATAATTTTCCATGATGAAATTGAGTTTTAACTGAAAAGGGAGATCTGGTATGGTTGGAGCAAATTTATTATATAAATAAATTATACACATATTATGGTAATACATTCTACTAAGGTCAATAAAAGATATAAAGATGTAATTACACATTGTATATACCCTCAGCTATTCACATATTTCTGGGGAGAAAAGACATGGAAGAATGACTAATGTCAATAACAATGAGTTCCATTAGAAAAGCACAAACAATGGAGGGAAAAGAATGGAAAAAAATTTAGAAGAATTTGATGGGAGCTCTGATATTTGATCTGTCCTTCAAAAGATGGAGAGAAATTTACAAGATGAGGCTCAAAATACGCTATGTGATACAATTTATAATTAATTTTTCACCATCTGATATAATAAATATCTTATTATTTTGTATTTTAATATGCTTTCTCTGTATTAGTTCTCTAGGGCTTCAATAACAAACATAAACTGGGTAACATACACAATAGAAATGTATTGTCTCACAGTTCTGGAAGCTACAAGTCTGAAATCAAGGATTTGGCAGGTTTGGAGTTTTTGAAGGTTGTGAGGGAAGAAATTATTCCAAGACTCTCTTGTTGGCTTGTAGATGGCCACCTTCACGTTCACAGGGTGTTTTCCTTGTATGTGCATGTTGCTCTATAAATGTTCCCTATCTAATAAGGACAAGTCATATTGGATTAGGGTTCATCCTAACAACCTCACTTAAACTTGATTATCTCTGTAAAGACCTTACCTACAAATAAGGTCACATTTTGAGTTCATGGGGGTTAAGACTTCACCATATGAACTTTGTGGGGACACAGTTTAACCTGTGACACTCTACATTAGTCAGTGAGCTGCATTAGGAGCTCTATTAGAAACTCTAGGGCAGGTTTTTATTTTTTTATTCATTTGTTTTTGCATATTTCCCAGGAGCATTATAGACGTTTAAAAACGCTTATGAGAGGTTATTTGGAGTTTGTTGTAAGCTTGTTCAAGAAACACAAAGTTTATTTTTCAAGCAAGAAGTTTGACCTTTATAACATCAAGTTAATTGGAATTATTCAGAATTCTAGAGTTAGTAATCATTGATGCCACTCATTTTTATCTTTTGTTTATTTTAATATTTTAAGCAGATAATAAGCATTCTTTTTACCCAGTTCCCATGAACTAGAATTATAGTACTTGTGGTTTCCTTTGACATACTCACTTATAATTTACTTTCCATACCAAAAATTTATAGTTATATAAAATAGATTTAGCACCCAACTGTGTATAGGTATACTACATTTATTGTTGTGCCAACTGTGTTTGATATTTCTTTTAATCTCTTCACAGCTGTATGTGACTTTTAAACTAGGTTTCTATCTTAGTTCTTTAACAGCAACACATTTTTCTTGATGGGGTAGAGATCTGCCTCAAACTGTAACCTAGTTTGCAGAAGATGGCTTTGGAAACTTTTTCCAGTTCAGTGATTTCTACAGGATAAACTACCTTCTCTATCCTTTCAAATGCTGTATGTAAAAATTTAAAAAGACAATCTTTTGGAGAAACTGAGAAACATTTTCCTAAAACAACTTCTTTAGCAGGTGGTAAAATGAAACAATTAACATTGATTGACTACCTCAGAGAAAGATGGGAAACTGAAGACAGCTTCATTTATTTGATGGCAATACGTGTGGGGAATGTTACCCCCTCTTGACTTACTTCCTGAGTAATTAGCCTCAAACACCTCATTTCTAACCCTAGACTTTACCTTCAAATGACCTATGGGTTTCACAATTATTATTATTAAAATCTCTTGTTATTCTTACTCAAAAGTCAGTTAAAATCTTTAATAAAAATCTTCAAAATGGAAAAATACAGTTCAAAATTTTTCTGACATTATATCTGTGTGTGTGTATATATATATATATATATATATATGTACTGTGAATAATTTTCAGTTCACTGTTTAGAAAGCACGAAATAAATTAAACTCCATCTTTACAGGGATTGTTTTTTCCTGACAGATTAAAACATTTTCGAGATAATTGGTAAGGCAGTATAAAATGCATTAGATTTATTATTTGAGAGAGATTCTATTTTTAACTAATATACATGATGACCATGTTAAACAAACCTATGGAAAAATAAGTGTCTTATTGGAAATTGATTTTCCAATACAATAGATTGCAAAGCCATCCCTATTTCCTTCTTCTGAGATTATATCCACATGTCATCCTCAGTAAACTTTATTAACTGGAAATGAAAGGATACTGGATACAGATGCCTAAATTCGGTCAAAATAGCTCTCACCAGTTATTAGGCATAAGTATGTTAAACATGCATTACAAAATAATTTTTAAAATACTTAGGTGTATATAATAGCAACTTCAAAACAGTTTCGAAAATATTTTGTTGAGAAATACATGGAGAAAGAAACATATTTGCATATAATGGGGAAAAATGTCAATATGGTATAATTTTAGATTTTAAACATGTGCACTGCCTTGTTTTTTATACATCAATCATAAACAGTTTATGGTAGAGTATCAACAAAAATCAAAATTATTTATTTATTGATTATTAAAAAATGTAAATAAGAAGTCTAAAAGTTAAATCTACCACTACCCAAACATTATTATGAGACACATTTTTATAGGATTAAAAAAGAGAAGCAAATGTAGCTTCATTTTATACTTGTTAGTAAGAAAATAATCTGGAATTTAATTAATGACGTAGTGCCACTTTGAATTCCATTGACTTAATTTTCAAGGGGGTCTCAACCTCTTTTTATTAGCCAGCATGCTGACATGGTTTGGTAACTTCAATTAGCTTTGTTCAATTATATGAACTTGTGATTAGCAGAGGCTAACTGTCAGCCAATATTGTAATTAGATCTTCTAAAAATAAGAAATAAGAAGCCCGTTGCATCTGTTAGTGTCAGTGCATGCCTGTGATAATAATTTTTAAGTACAAATAAGTGGACATAGGTATTTCAAATGAAAGTTATTTGAAAATAGAATTAACAGGTCAGCTAAACATAGCATTTCATTGTTCCTAAATATTCAAGTCTGAATTGCTCCAAAGATGCTTTTGCTTTAATTTTTGCAGAATATTTTGTCCCTTTTAGTATTCACTAAAATTGTTCCTCACATTCAAAATGCATCAGTTTATATAAATGATTTTTAATATAATGTGCCTTTCTTTCATGCTGTTTTGCTCATATTAGTACAATTTTTAAATCTTTTTTCCATGACATGTGTATTATATTTGGAAGAGTATTCTTTTTTAGTGCTATATTTATGAAGAAATTATAATCGACTATGGAACTGCTGTTTCAGTGGGAAAGATATAATTTTCCCAAAATTATTTTAACGCTAACACCATTTAATCATTTTAAAGTGTCACATCTATGACTATACACACACACATATATATACATATAAAACGTGTAAAAATATATATACAAAGGAAGATATATATAGAATGATATATATGTACATATGTGATATGATTTGGCTCTGTATCCCCACCCAAATCTCACCTTAAATTGTAATAATCCCCACGTGTCGTGGGAGTGACTCAGTGGGAAGTAACTGAATCATGAGGGTGGGTTTTTCTCGTGCTGTTTTCGTGATAGTGAATAAGTCTCACGAGATCTGATGGTTTTATACATGGGAGATCCCCTGCACATGCCCTCTTGCCTGTCACTATGTACGATGTGACTTTGCTCCTAATGTGCATTCCACCATGATTGTGAGGCCTCTCCAGGCATGTGGAATTGTGAGTCAATTAAACCTCTTTCCTTTTTAAATTACCTAGTCTTGGGTGTGTCTTTATTAGCAGTGTGAGAACACATTAATACAGTATGCATATACAAATATGTAGATAAACAAATATGATTTGTGCTTAGCTTAGTGCCAGCCAATATATATTTTATCTCATTTAGTTCCTTGAGCTTTAGATTTTTAGATAAAGTATGTTAGTGATAAAGTATTTTTAAATTAAGGTATAAACATTGTACATTGTATTTTTAGACATATGCTATTGTACACTTAATGAACTACAGTATAGTGTAAACACAACTTTCATATGCATTTGGAAACCAGAATATTAATGTGACTAGCTTTGTTGCAATACTTACTTCATTGCACTGGTCTGAAAGTGAACCTGCAACGTCTCTGAGGTGTTTCTTTATTTCCGCAAGTTCACTTAGGATTTAGAGAGCATAAACCAGTAATTTGCTTTCATTTCTCTTGCCCAATTTATTAAAATTAGTGCCTGATAATACCATAAAACTTTATGCAGTGAAATATTTTAAATAACTGTATATTAAGTTTCAGCTTTGAAAATGTGCTTAATTATGTCAAATATTAAAACAAAAATTACATTGTGTATATTATTTATTTATATCTATTCATAAATATTTACGTATTCATTATGGCAATTAAATTTAATCACATTCATTATTTGTATATTCGCTATTAGCTTTGAATATATGACTTTTAAAAATGTGGGTTCAGTAGACAGCAGAGAACACTTTTATGCTGTTGAATAGGTAGTATTTGGCAATTTAATTTAGTATGAGTAATTAAGTTTGTGATGTGTCTATTTCTATATCAAACACTATCTTAATCTATTTCTATTTAAACAGATATGAATACATGATAGAGATAGCAGTTTTAAATATGTTATTTATTTTAATTCATATGTTTATATATGTCTTTATTGAATAAGTAATATATATTATTTGAGATATAACAGGTAAAAAGTAGTATATTTTAAAGGGCTTTTCTCCTACTTCTGTAGTTCTTGTAGATAACACATTAAAATTGTTTATGATTTTTCCATTGATACTCTAATAATATACAAGGCAATACATACTGTAAATATAAATTACATATTTGTTACTTGATATACTTATTTATATTTATATGCATACAAACAATAGGAGTGAGAAGAAATATTTTATCTCTTCTCATTTTACATAAATATCAAAATGGTAATATGCTACACACCCACTTCTGTGCCTTACCTAAGAACATATGATGGAAATTACTTCTTATTAGTTTTCTTTAATCTTCCTTATTTTATTAAATTTGAAAAAATATCCCATGGCATAGATATGTCATTATTTATTTAAATAGACTTTCACTGATGGTTATTTATCTTATTTCATTAATTTTCTCTTACAAACAATGCAAAATGAATAAATTGAAGGTGGAGTACTATTCAAAAGTGCAATATATTTTCAGAAAAATTTTATAGAAGTGAAAATCCTAGAATGAGGGATATTTTGATTTTTAATCTTGCTCATATTATTCAAAATAATATGGAATTTAATGTGAAATATTTAATTTAAAAATTTGTTATGTCAAATATGCTACTTAGTTGTACTATTCAAATATGTCAGAATATTGCTCTGAAATAATTGCTCTTGAAATTTTACTTTGGATTATAAGTTACTAGGTATTGCAAGAAAGACTTATTTTGCTAATGTTGCAAATGCGTTGTAAAAATCATTTGAAATACTAAATATACATGTGTTTGAATACCACAAAATGTTATCCATACATATATAAAATTATTGCTAAACAATAACTTAATAAAACTAAATAATATAATTAAAAATAATTATTTAAATATGTTTACAAAGAGTTTGAAGTACTCTAAAATATTTCGTCTTATACCAAACTGCATATTCTGAAGGGGAGGATATGGCATTTTTTCCCAGTAACTTCTGAAATAGAACCTTATAGCAAAATCTGCTCCTTATTTCAATATCTGTAGTGACTTTATGAAGATCTAGTGATAATAAAGCTATTTAGGATTTTTATACAAATAAAGCTATGTGGTCTAGTTTATCTTTCTACAGCTGCAGCATATCAAATAACTTTAATGTTCCATAAAGGCCAAATAGGCAGTGAATATGAAGTGATAGTTCACCTTTGCAAAAAAATGTTTCTTTAGATGATGTATTTGAAAGAATCAGAGGAAACAGCAATGGAAAACATTCAGATAAATACCTGAGAGATCTGTTAGGTGGAATAACTATGCAAAATACTTATGATAATAATTTTGGAAATGTATTACTGAAAGCAAATATTCAGAGACTTCTTCATCATGCCTATGCCTGTGAAATGTGGTTCGTTTTACTCTCTTTCCTCTAAGAGGAAAATACAGATCAAGACTGTAAAGGACAAATCAACTGTTAGGTCTTGAATTAACTCGCCAGTGTTTGTTCTCTATAATTTGCCTTTGCTTCTGCTTTAATTTCTTGTTAAAAAATAGTTTCATTGGTATAAAGTGCTTTCATTGATACATTTGGATGTGGTAGTAAGAATAAAAATGTAGATTATTTAATAGTCATAAAAAAGAAACTGATCTAAATTTTGCTACGGATCATACAATGCAATACGTTTTATAGTAACTTTACTGTAGCCTTATTTTTAATTTTGGGATTACTGAACATTGTTGAATATGTGCAATAATTATCTATATATATAGCCCATAGATACAGAAATGTGAATGAAAATATTGCAAGTAACATTCATTCTTAATTCTTATGTTAAATAATTTCAAATGTACAGAACTTAAAAACTCCTATATATATTTCAGTCAGACTCACCCATTGTTAATACCTTCTCCCATACATATGTCTGTTCTCTCTCCCTTCTTCCTCTCACATGCGTATGTCCAGGGGAATTATGTATACACATATATATAAATTTAAAACTTACTATACATACTATTTTGCTTTATGAATATTTTGACAGTAAGTTGCAGACAGAGTATTCTATTATTGGGTTATATTTTTACAGATAATTCAAACAATATTTGGTGTGGTGGCTGGTGACACGTAAATATAAACAGCATAAAAATCACAGATAATAGAAAGGTATTCATTTATGAGATATTATTTTTTGCACCATGCTTTCAATCCCTGGCAATTTTTGCCATTGGCATGCATCTGGGCTGCAGTTTTTGTGGCTGTTTCTTTTTTCAGTGGTATTTTGAACAAATATTAACTTAGCCATAGGCCAAACACTTGAAAAAAAGCAGACTTGATTAACAGTGAATCAAAGAGAGTCTGATGCTAGATTTATTACTGAAATTTGAACAAATTAGAATTAAATCAGTTTTAAGAATAAAAAACCTGAAATAGCATAAATTGAACAAAAGAAAAATGCTATGCACAAGTATGAAAACAGAAATACAGTTTTGGAAACTTAGAATGATGCTTTCTTTTTTCTTTTCTTTTCTTTTCTTTTTTTTTTTTTTTTTTTTTTTGAGATGGAGTCTCGCTCTGTTGCCCAGGCTGGAGTGCAGTGGCACGATCTCGGCTCACTGCAAGCTCCACCTCCCGGGTTCACGCCATTCTCCTGCCTCAGCCTCCCGAGTAGCTGGGACTACAGGTGCCCACCACCACGCCTGGCTAATTTTTTGTATTTTTAGTAGAGACGGGGTTTCACCGTGTTAGCCAGGATGGTCTCGATCTCCTGACTTCATGATCCGCCCGCCTCAGCCTCCCAAAGTGCTGGGATTACAGGTGTGAGCCACCGCACCTGGCCGTAGAATGATGCTTTCTATAAAGATCCAGACAGGTGCTTCTTTAGTTATTAATTTTGGCCATTTGGATTTGTTTCTTTCTGAACTAGATTTTCATATCTACTACTCATTTTCATTTGAATTACATACTATTTTCTCGTTAACTTGGAAGAGTTCTTTGTGTGACATGTATTTTAATTATTAGCCATGTGTATTGGAAATTTCCTGTATCTACCATTTATCTATTGGCTCAAGATATCTTTTGACAACACTGTTTCTAAGTCAAATGATCATTTATTAAAGAATATTATGTATACACTTCCATTCTTAAGAAGCTATTTTGTTTACTTATTTTTTGTAGGTTTTTATATTTTGTAAGTGCTTTTGCCATTTTAAGTTTTTAATCCACAGAGAACATATTTTGAGTATGATGTAAGAGAGATACTTTTAGGTAGTAGTCAGTTATTTTGACACCATTAAAAATACATTATTTTCTATATCAACATCTATATAACTGATAGAGACAGGAGGCAGCCAGTGGTCCTGGACGAAACCACACCTTCAAGCCTAAAACAGCCTGAAGGCTGAAAAACTGGACTGCTGATCTCAGATGAAGCCCACTCTTTCCCAACTGATTCTTTCTGAATAATGCCCACCTGCACACTGGGAGGACAGGGTGGAGCCTCGGGAAGTTCCTGCCATTTGCAGAGGGGAGGAGCCTGGCCTCTCCTGTTCCTGTATGGTGACCTGGGATTCAATCCATGAGGAGGGCAACTTGGAAGCAGGACCTTCTCTTGCTTTGCTGAGAGTTATTTTTCCTTTTCCCTTTCAACCAAAAAATTCCGTTTTCCTCACCCTTCTATGTGTCTGTGAGCCTAGTCTTTCCTGGTTGTGTGACAAGAGCACAGTTTTAGCTGAACCAAGGAGAAAGTTCTGCAACATAACTATTCTTTGAAATGTGTTGAATTTATAATAATCTTTTATAAATTTGAATTCTATTAAAACAAACTTCCCTAAACCATTCTTCTCTCCTTCATCTTTTAATATATTTAAACATATAGTCCTTAATATATTATATATTTAAATATATAGTCCTTAATATATTTAAATATATAATCTTCCATTTAACATTAATATTTTAATCAATTTTAAAGTAATTCTGTTGCAATTACAATTGAATTTATTAATAATATTGTCTTCTCATGCAATAATAGCATGTTTTCTACATTTATTTAAATATTATTTTATAAATTTAATTTGAAATACATACTTTTATTTCTCTATTTTGTTAAATTTATTCCCAAGCATTTTATGTATTTGTTGGAATTTAGAATTCAATATTTTTTATTTTCAATTTAGATGTTTCTTATAAAGTTTTGATTTTAAAGACTCTTTTGTATCTAATAATCCCACCAAATTTTCCAATTACTTTGAGTAGTGTTTTTAAAAAAATTTTAAAGTATATAATTAAATCATGGGCAAAATTATCTTATTTTTAAATATCAATACATATTGTTTGATTTAATTTTCTTACTTCATTAAGTATCTTCTATATTAAATAATAATGTTGAACCCAAACTGTGGATCATCCAGAATAGCAACTTTGATCTCCAATACTATGTTAAATGTCAATATCATAAAAGACAAAAAAAGGCTGGGTAATTCATACAGATTAAAATGATGAATGCATTATCCTGAATTGAATCAATGGGCTATGTATTATATAATAATATTCTATTAAGTTTCCTGTATTTAACTCCCTGAATTTGCTAATTGTTCTACGGTCATGTAGTAGAATATCCTTCTAGTTCAGAGATTTGGTAACTTACTCCTAAATTTACCAATCAATAGTAATAAATACATGAATACATAGAAAGTAATAAAGCAGATGTAGCAAAATGTTAACAATTGGTGAATTTAGATAAGCATTATTAAGTTCTTTTTAATAATCTTGCTGTTTTTCTGTAAGTATGAAATTATTTTTAAAATAAAAAGGTAAAAATCCACATGCACACATAGGTTAATTGCAGCATTATTCACAATAGTAAAGACATAGAACCAATCTAAATACCCATCAGTGGAAGACTGGATAAAGAAAATGTGGTACATATACACTGTGGAATACTATGCAGCTATAAAAAAGGAATGTGATCATGTTGTTTACAGGAACATAGATAGAACTGGAGGTCAATATTCTTAGAAAACTAACACAAAAACAGAAAACCAAATACTGCATGTTCTCACTTATAAGTAAAGCTAAATAATAAGAACCAATGGGCACAAAGAGGGGAACAACAGACACTGCTGCCTACTTCAGGGAGAAGTGGGGGAAGAGGGAGAAGATCAGGAAAAATAACTATCAGGTATTATGCTTAGTACCTGGGTGATAAAATGGTCTGTATACCAAACCCCCACGACATGAGTTTTCCTGTATCAACAAAGTTGGCACAGGTACTCCTGAACCTAAAAGTTTTTTTTTTTTAAAGTAAAAATTATGGTCAAAACTAGGAATCTGTGTTTACTTCCTGATGTTAATGAAATTCATTTTAATCGTTTCACATTTAATAAAATATTTGCTGTAGAATTTTGTTAAATAAAAAAGTTTTATAAAGAATTATATTTGCCAAATTTGATAAAGTCTTTCAACAACCATTATTGAATAACCCTTAAAATGTGCTGGCATCTGTTAATAGACTTTCTGGTATAAATCCATCCTTGTATTTCTGAAATACCTTAATTTTCAGTGTGTTTTATATATGCATAAGGAACAAGGTGAAAATTTGAATAGATGTAATGCCTTAGAATAATCATATAAAGCAATTTAAAATGTCACATTAAGTATTAGATTAGGACTAAATGGCTTCACTGATATTTTAACTTTAAAAACTATATTATTACATGTTATTAAAACTATGTTTTGCAATTACAAAAGAGGACAGTGCCCTGGTTCATTTTAAAAACTAAATATAAACAAGTAATCAAGTAAGTAAATATATCAGAAGTAAATGCATATTTAAGAAAAATATCAAAATCTTCATGGATACAAGTGTATTATCAAAATATTTGGAGACTGCAGTCACCTTGTCTACTGGCTTCTGTGAGCCGCATGGGGCTTGTGCAGTGGAGACCACGGCAGCTGAGAAAGAGGAGAAGTAATCAAGGGAAGAGGCAAAAGGTTAGCTCCCCCAGCTATTTGGTTGGCTTCTGATATGCTGCCCTATGTAAACACATACATTTGAATAGAAAACTCGAATGCCCTCATTTGACAGATATGGAATAAATCTCATGGCATGACTTTCCAAAAGACCCTTCCACGGTAGGTACTCGAGGCTGTTCTGAGGTGTTCCTTGCTTAAAAAAAAAAAAAAAGCCTTACTGCTTATCTGATATAAATAAAGTTTATCTAATATAAATAAAATATAGATGCTGAAGTTTTCTTAATTTTTTTTTTTGAGATGGAGTCTCTCTCTGTTGCCCAGGCTGGAGTGCATTGGTGCTAACTTGGCTCACTGCACGCTCCGCCTTCCTGGTTCACACCCATTTTTCTGCCTTATCCTCCCGAGTGGCTGGGACTACAGGCGCCCACCACCACGCCTGGCTAATTTTTTTGTATTTTTAGTAGAGACGGGGTTTTCACCGTGATAGCCAGGGTAGATTCTATCTCCTGACCTCGTGATCTGCCCACTTAGGGCTTCCAAAGTGCTGGGATTATAGAGGTGAGCCACCGTGCCCAGCCTTAAAATTTTTAAAATAAGAAAAAATATCCTTCATCACTTCCTTCATAGTTTTGGAGAAAGTGTTGAACTTTAGGACTGAATTTTAAAGATCTTTGCACTAATAGGCAGGTCTATGTTTTTGATGTGTTGGATTTTGTAGTAGTAAATCCACTACAACAGTAACATAGAAGTGGGGAATTAGTTTACAGAATTCATTAAGAGTGGACATGTACTCTAGGTTTGTCCACAGTGATCTTTCCTTAATACAACCTGGCTGGATACTTGGCTACTGGTTATTCACTGTGGCATCCAGGGTAGCCGCATGGCACTCATCTAGAGTGTGTTCACCTTGAGTCTCAAGGCATTCAAGAGTTGGGCAAAGCACAGTCATTTACATAGGTTACATCATAAATGTGCTCCCTGGAAGGATAAACCACATAGGCACTGCTTTCAACATAGACAATGTATAACTTTTGTCTTCCAGTCAAATAGTTCTAGTTACAGTATCAAATTATAAAACATCTACTGTATCTTTTATTTGAATTTTCTTAAAATAATCACTTCTTTTAATATAAATATAAATGTACTAATACTTTTTATATTCATTTTGTTACATTATCATGTAACTCATATTTTTCCATTAAATTTGTAAGTGGCTACATTTTATCATATATTTTCTTCATTATTTATTTTGTAAATTGTATATAAATATTAAATAAATTTGAAACAGAATATACTTGTTTTATTCTAATTTCTTGACTTTAAAAAATTATTTTTCTTCTAATTTGATATCAGTAATGTTTAAAGTTTTAAATTGTGTTAAGGTTTAAGCTTATATATAATTTTGTGAATAAGGATTTTGACTTATTTCTTAAGTAGTTTAGAAAATTATTTTATTTCGACTTTTATTCTATTGTGATACAAATATGGTTGCTATTATATCTTCCTTAAAAAAATTTTAATTTTTTTTCTGGTGTTATTAATATATCACAACCAATAAAAATGGTGTAGATCCACTCTAATCACTAAATTTCCCAAATCTCTATTCTATTCTTTATGTTTGCAAAAACTTTATATTGTTTTTAATGTTTGCTCTATAAGGACTTAAAACTATGCTCATATCCTGTGACTGTTATTTCTTCAGTTTTTTCCTCTTTTTTAATTAGAAAAAGTTTTGCATATTTTAATGTTATGGAATTTCATTGGCAAAGTTGTTTATATTATTATGTATTTGCTGATCCCATGACCGTTCACCTTCTTACGTCATTTTATTTTAGAATTGTGCCTTGTATATAACATGGAGTTGGGCTGAACTTTTAGTCCTAAGGTTCTACTTATCCCTTTCTTTGTTTAGGGTACTTTAAGAACTGTTTTCATCTTTTGCACATGGCATTTCTGTGCATGCTTTGGGTTGGGAACCTCTCTGGTTTTGAATCCATTTTCCTCTGTCTTTCAAATGTTTCCTTATAATTCCTGGTCAACCACAAACCCCCTTCTTATTTTCAGCACTTTTTTTTTATGCAATGTTAAATCATCCCTCTTATTTCTCAAAAGACAGCAAGCATATGCCCATCACTTTAAGCCAATACAGATTTTTATTTCTTTCTTTACAAGCATTTTAGCTGTCTTTGAGAAAATTGACTTCAGTGAACTTTTTCTTTCAGTATGAGGACGTCAACTTTAAGCTGGAAGTATACTTGGAAAAATCTTCTGTGGCTTGCTAGACAGTAGAGATCATGTTAAGATTATAAACTCTTTTGCCTCCTTTTCTATGGACACAATTAGATTTGTTTTAATACAAATGAATTTATTTTACTGCTTGCAATTCTGCTCAGAGCAAATTGCGTTTTGTGTTTTCAAAGAGTTTCACAATATATAATGGATGTTTAAGAATATTATCATATCCTTAAAACTAATGTCTTAAAATCAATTTGAGATTTTAATCATATAGGGAAGATTCAGTGAGTGTTAGAAACTCAGCATCAGCAGTAAATGTATTTGTATGGGGATAATACAAATATTTAGGACTTAATATGCTGGATCCAACTATTCAAAATGAGAAATAATCAGAAAAGAAAGTGAGTATAAATAACTAGTAATACTGAAACGGAGTATACTAGTGGAATACTGACTACTTATTTAAATATTTATAATAATTCTGGACTTAAGGAATAAAAATTTTATGAAAAAGAATCGCCATTGTCTAAAAACTGTTGTTTTTTTACAAAGTGCTCCAGAACAAGTGGCTAAACTTAAAAATAAGCATTCAGTTCTGTATTTACACATTGGGCCAAAGCTAAGACAATTTTAAGTAAAAATTCAAGCCAGAATTCAATGTCTTTTAGTTAGGCCACATAGGCAACATTTATTTATAAAATCAAGAAAAATGGAAGAAAAACTGTGGTCCCACACAAAGTAAGGTGCTGCTTTAAAAGTTATTCTAGTCTGAGTTGAATATAGAACTACTATTTACTTTAAAAATCAATCACAATTCCACTTTATATCATAAAGTAAACTGTTTTGCAGAATTTAATAGGATTATGCTATCGATTCCATCTACACAATGCTTGCTCGTATTGCATACCTATGAACTATGGCCTATTATGTTACTGAGCACAGGAGAAAAGGGATTAGTCTGTGAAAGAACAAGCTGATTTCATGCCTCCACACAATGTTCACATACTTGTTAACTCAATAGTCATTATATGTTAGTAAATGTCAACCAATAAAACAAAACAAAATTAAAAAATAGTCTGCTCTAATCCTTGAAGCATCTGACTAAGCTTATTTGAAAAACTCAGTTTGGGGAGCTGTTCAAAACCCAGACACTAGAAATGAAAGATTAAAGTTCTGTTTGCTTGTTTTTTTGTTTTTTGTTTTCACAGAGACAAAATAAATAGAATAATTTACTTCAACTGCATATGATCCCCATAACTGTCTAATCTTTTCTGAAGAGTGGTTTAATCAGACCAGATACTAATATTTAACTATTGTAGCAGATTTTCAATCCAAGTCAGGGGGAAACCAAGTAACATTATGGGAATGTGAGGTGGGAAGGATGAAGTTATATTTATTACTCCAAATGCCCTCTGCTTTCAATAATTTTCTATATGTAAAAGCAATTTATATATATTATATAATCTTATGAAAAAGAAAAAATTTAAATTGTTCATTCCTAAAATCATCTTTTTCTTAAGTGCTTGTTACCAGAATTCTCAATATGGTGAACTTCCATTTGCTTTATTTTTATTTTGTAGGCATTTCTGCTAATAAGAAGCTGATCTTACATAGAATTTCAACTTAAATATACTTCTTTGTAAATATGCTCATATGGCATTAGGTATGTGGCAAAGAACCTTATATTCACTTTCTAAAGAAATTTACATAATTTTTAGTTAAACATTATGTTTTCAAAATAATCAGAAAAAAAGTAAGTCACTTATACCAGTAGCCAATGTTTTTCAAATGTATAGTTGTTACATTATATTAACATTAACATCTACTGCCTCTGTATTGCTTTTCTTCCTTCATTTTGAGACTTAACACTGCAACTGTGCTTCAGTTTCTTGCCTCATCCATGGATGCCCACTGTCACAGGCAAGAACCTCTGAGGTTTGAATTATCTTCAGTTTGGGTTTGATACAGGTCCTTGAAGCTTCCCAAACTAGATATTCTTAGTAAAATAATATATCTGGTGGGGTAAGCTGAATAATGCTTCTCCACCTTTTCCCCAACATGTTTACATTCTAATCCCATACACCTTATATGGCATAAGGAACTTTGCAGTTGTGATTAAGTAAAGGATCTTTAGATGAGTATATTATGCTTGATTATCTAAATTGGCTCTAAAAGTAATCACAAATGGCCTTCAAAATTGAGTTAAGAGAAAAAGGCAATGTGATGGCAGAAGCAGAAATTGGAGTGATGTACTTTGAAGATGGAAGCAGGGTCTATAACCAAAGAATGCAGGTGCCCACTAGAAGCTGAACAGGAAAAGGAAATGGATTCTTCCCTGGAGCCTCCAAAAGGAAACAGGCCTGCCAACACCTCAATTTTAGCCTCATAAAACTTATTTTGGACTTTTGATTTTTAGAATTTTAAGAGAATAAATTTGTATTTTTTTTTTTTTTTTTTTTTTTTTTTTGAGACGGAGTCTTGCTCTGTCGCCCAGGCTGGAGTGCAGTGGCGCGATCTCGGCTCACTGCAAGCTCCGCCTCCCAGGTTCACGCCATTCTCCTGCCTCAGCCTCCCGAGTAGCTGGGACTACAGGCGCCCGCTACCACGCCCGGCTAATTTTTTGTATTTTTAGTAGAGACGGGGTTTCACCGTGTTAGCCAGGATGGTCTCGATCTCCTGACCTCGTGATCCGCCCGCCTCGGCCTCCCAAAGTGCTGGGATTACAGGCGTGAGCCACCGCGCCCGGCCATAAATTTGTATTTTTTAAGCAATTAAGTTTTTTTGTAATTTGTTATAGCAGCAATAGAAATCTAATACATTTCTTTTTCACTTCACGCATGTTCTTTATATTTTTCTTTAATAATTTATAAACAGAAAAGACTATATTTTGAATACCATTGACATTTGTTATATATACAGTGGGAATCCATGTTTTACTGGGAAGCAGATACTCAATCTAAGTTGGAAGCGAAAGAGATTTGGGGGAATAAAAATCAGTTAAAGTCAAAGGAGAGTGGGAGTAGTAATAGGGAGGGTTTTTAAACATGTGATGCAAGTTTGACACCTCTGAAAAGACAGGGATAAAGAAGAAACATTAGAGAGGAAGAGCTTCAGTCTCTGATGCAGTTGTGAGAAAATCCCATCCATGCCAATAGGGAGTTCTAGAGCAAAGACTACCTACTAGAGAAACCCCATTTTGGGCAGAAATAACCTAGCACATTTCCTAGCTGTCATTAGCCAGAGCAGCCCAGGAAGAATGTTTTTGACTAGAATATTGTGGCCAATTCTAAAGGTGTTGTAACTAGTGACTATCAACTGACTGCTATAATCACAGCATGTTTTTTCTTGCAAGGTTATCTTTTGCACCTACAAGGCTGCCACAGTCAATTCAATGTAACTTGAAGTTCATTACTATTGCCTCTTTAGTGAGAAAGTTTAGGTCATACAGGTTATAGAGGGTGAAGGGAGGGGTGAACCTAAAAGTTCCTAGGGGAGATACATATTTACTCAGGATAATGACCGATTCTTTGATATTTACAGGTGAGTAATTTTTCACATTTGCTCCAAATATGCAAATCCTTATGCATATGGCAGTCACTTCTGTTGGTATCCAATAATATGCAAAGTTGTTATAATGTCAACCACATAACAATATTAATATTTATTACTCCTGCATTGATTTTTATCCTTCATTCTGAGATCTTAACTAATGTAGCTGTGTCTTATCCATGGATGTCCATTGTCACAGGCAAGAACTTCTGAGGTTTGAGTTATCTTCAACTGGGTCTGATCCAGAGCCTTCAAGTTTCCCAGTATGTTTTAGAAGATACCTCGGCATACCCTATCTCAGTAATAGAAACACTCTAAAACTAAAAAGATGGCTGTATATGCTACAATCACATTTAAATTATAAATGTCCCAGCAGGGCATGGTGGCTCATGTCTGTAATCCCAGCACTTTGGGAGGCTGAGGCGGGTGTATCAGCTGTGGTCAGGAGTTCGAGACCATCCTGGCCAACATGGTGAAACCCCAACTCTACTAAAAAAAAAAAAAAAAGTGAAAATTACTTGGGCATGATCCTGCATGCCTATAGTCTCAGCTACTAGGGAGGCTGAGCAGTGGGATTGCTTGAGCCCTGGAGGTGGAGGTTGTAGTGAGCTTAGAGTGAACCACTGCACTCCAGCCCGGGTGACAGGTGAGAAATGCTGTCTCAAAAATGAATAAATAAATAAAACATTAAAAAATTATGAATGTTCCGTATGAATTTCTTAACCTAGTGTTAAGGTTCAGGGAAAAATTATTTTCCCAAAGATTTCCTAGATGAATTTCAATTAAAAGAAAATATTAGAACAGGTGAACTATTTCTGAACCAATACTCAAATTTCATGCTTCCCTTTTCCACGGGGCCCTCTCTTTCACTACAGCACACAAAGAAAATTCTCAACCAGCAATGCTGCAACAATGTACCTATTATGTTGCTAAATATTGATGACTAATGACTGTCAGAAATAAGTTATTGTCAAAATCAAATAAAACATAGAGACAAATCTCTAAATTTCAAACATTTCATTTGGGAAGCAGGAGTTGCAATCCAGGGCATATGCACAGATCAGGTGGCCTCTGGTATGTCCAAAGAACAAAGAGAAGGTTGGAAGTTGTATAAAAAGGAGAAATATTACATAGTGTTTTGCAAGAAAATTCACTGGCACCCATAAAGTTTCTGGGAGCTGGCGATATGGCTCCAATGAGTGGAGGAACAGCACGGCTCTTGTCTCCCGCGAGTTGGGTGAAACGACACGGACACACGTGGAGTGGTTTTAGGAAGCGGAGAGTTTAATAGGCAAAAAGAAGGGAGAAGAAAGAAGCTCCCTGTACAGGGACAGAGGGAGGGGGGCTCCAAAGCCAAGAGAGGAGATCCCGTGTGCCATGGAAAAGTGGCTGCTTATATGAGTAGGCTGGAGGAAGTGGTGTCTGATTTGCATAGGGCTCAGGGGATTGGTTTGACCAGGCATGTCATTCATGTAGCCCCCAAAAAACTGGCCATCCCACCCTAGTCCTTTAATATGCAAATGCAGGGTGCCATGATGTTCTACATACATGGGCCTATGTGGAGGTGGCCATGTTGCCAGGCACATGTCAGGGCAAGGGCAAGAGGACAATGGTGGGAATTGCCATGTTTGGGTGGACCCAGTTTCTTTTTCTTCTTTTTCTTTTCTTTTTTTTTTTTTTTTGAGATACAGTCTGGCTCTGTCACCCAGGATGGAGTGCAGTGGCACCATCTCCGCTCACTGCAAACTCCACCTCCCAGTTCAAGCGATTCTTCTGCCCCAGCCTTCCTGGTAGCTGGGATTACAGGCACTGCACCACCACACATGGCTAATTTTTGTATTTTTAGTAGAGCAGAGGTTTCACCATGTTGGCCAGGCTGGTCTCAAACTCATGACCTCATGATCCTCCCGCTTCAGCCTCCCAAAGTGTTGGGATTACAGGCATGAGTCACCATGCTGGCCAGTGGACCCAGTTTCTCATGGCTGGCATTTGCATATCAAAGGTTGCTGGCCTGCTGTAAGTGCCTGGGCTTTCCTGCTAGACAACAAACATTTCTGGAGCTACTTTAAAAGCAATGAAAACTTTCTGAGGACCCCTTTTCCTCTCTATCTGCCTAAAATAATTTCTTAATAACTGCTACTACGCTAGTAAGTGCTAATTGGTAAGTAATGGTGGTGAAGGTTAAAACTAGTCTTAGAGCTGTAGCAGGTTATTTCATTAACTGTTAGATAATATGGGTTTCAGGTTATAGCAGGCAATTTCAGCAGTCACATTTGCAGAGAATTGCATTCTTGGACAATGTTTTGTTCCCTGAGTGCATTTTGCCCTTGGCTGTTACTCTGTTTTGGTTGGATGACAAGAATGACCCAATTAATGTCATCTACTTTTACATTATAAGCTTTACAAATTTATCATATGAGAAAATTATCCCAAATCTTAATCACTCTGCATAGCACTATTAAATGTCCAGAAACCTTATAACAAATAGCCAACACAAATAATTCATTGAGAAATTTGAAGTTATTCAGTACATTGGTTCTCAAAAAATTTCTGCCTAATTTCAGATTTCTTTACATTATCACTCATCTTTATGGTCTTTTCTCCATTTTTAAATAAGATAATCCTTCTTTTTTCTTAAGGTCAATGAGTCCAACTGTGCCATAATCTTCTTTCTCTTTCAGTTATATTCTCTTACATATGCTTTCACCCTGAACAAACAAAATAAATTGTCTATGAAAAGAGTCAAACTCTAAAATATTTGATGAGATTTATTCTAATCAATTATCAGTGACCATGGCCCATGACACAGCCCTCAGTAGACTCTGAGAATATGTGCTCAAGATGTTCAGGCTGCAGCTTTGTTTTATACATATTGGGGAGACATGAGACTTTAATCAAATACATTTGAAATATACATTGGTTTGGTCCAGAAAGGCTGGACAACTCAAAGCAGGGCTTCCAGGTTACATGTAGATTTAAATTTTTTTCTGATTGGTAATTGGTTGAAGGAGTTATTATCAATAGAAAGGAATGTCTGAGTTATGATAAGCGTTATGGAGACCAAAGTTTTATCATGCAGATGAAGCCTCCAGGTATCGTGCTTCAGAGAGAATAGATTATAAATGTTTCTTATCAGATTTAAGGTCTGTGTTGCTGTTAATGCTGAAGGGTATAATGAGGCATGTCTGACACCCCACTTCCCATCATGGCCTGAGCCAGTCTTTCAGGTTAAATTGTAGTGTGCCCTGGCCAAGGAGGAAGTACATTCAGATGGTTGGGGGGCATTAGGATTTTTTTTTGGTTAACAAAATAAAAAGACTCATTTAATTACATTATCTCTACAACTATTTTTCTATCTTCTCTTCTATCTACTCTTCTATCTTCTGTCTCTACTAAATTTCCAAAAGAGTTGTCTAAAATCACTTCTCAAATACATGGGCTAGGTTTTCTATTGTAAAGATCCTACTTTGACTTTTTTCTCTGAGGTCTCTTCCTGTTGCCACACATTCTCTGTGCACACTCTTTTTCTTGCCAGCAGGAATCACTCTGGTTACTCCCCTCTCTTCTTTTCTACTCCTGAACCCTCTTTTTGTGTGTGTGTGGTGCTTCTAGGTTTCCATTTTCAGGCCACTATTCTTGTTCTCAGGAAGTTTTGTTCAACTTCATGGTCCCAAGAATGACTGATAAATGAAAGACTGGAAGACTCATATTCTCTAGTCCAAATTTCTTTCTGACATATACCTATCTTCTTGACAAATGTTCCAAAGAAACTTCAAATTAAAAATATTCACATTTGAACTTATCACCTCCTGTAAAATCCATTCCTTCATTTGTATTCCTTATCTAACTTGATAGCACCAGCGGCTACCCAAGCAATCTCGGATAGCTCTAACTTGCCTCTCTCTAATCGCATAAGCTAGTTACTTGCTGAATCTTGATGCTATAATCTTTTAAATATTTACATTCTTTGTGTTTTATTCTCTGTCTTCCAAATAGCACTCTAAACACACAATCTGAAATTAAGTTCTGATTTTCTTTCTTAAAATTTTCCTTTCTTGTATTTGGAAACACATTGTCCAATCCAGTGCCAGTGAAACAGGAGACAGGGAAATACTGAGTAGAAGAGTGGTGTTCCCTGGCAAAGGTCCCACCCTCAAGCTTGGATCCCCACAGCCCTAAATGAGAACAGGTATTTCTGTTCTTGCGCCCAAAAGGTTGCCTTTGGGCCTGCCACGCCCGCTGTCCTGCACCCATATAAACCCTGAATCCCAAGTTCTAGAAGAGACCAGCAGACCAGCAGACCAGTGAGGGCGGAATGCCATGGCAGAGAAAGAAGAGGAGAGACGTCGAGATCCCCAGTGTAGTTTGACCAGGGGCGGTCGGAGAAGAGCCCGGCTGCTGCACAGCCCGACTTGAAGGGAAGACCACCTTCCCACTCCATCCCCTCTTCCGGCTTCCCATCCATCTTGCTGAGCCACTTCCGTCACTCAGTAAAACCTTGCACTCATCCTTTGAGCCCGCGTGTGGTCCAATTCTTTCAGGACACTGGGCAAGAGCTCGGGATACAGAAGGCTGTCACACTCGCCCCTTGCCCTTGTGATAGAGGCACAGGGTTCATTGAGCTGATTAATACACAAGCAGTCTGCAGACAGCAAAGCTAAAGGAGCACACTGTAACACACGCCCAGTTGGGCTTCAGGAGCCACAGACACTCACCCCTAGACGCGGCGGTGGAGCCAGAGCCCAAAAGAGCTTGCCCCAGTTCCCGCACCTGCCCCTCTGTGAGCTCCTCCTCCGGTAAGGGGTTTGAGATGCCAGGTGAGAAAACAGGTGAGCCACACCCCTGTCACACACCCTGAGGGGAATCAGGGAACTCTCCCATTTCACCAGTGCTAGAATGGGATAAGTATTCTTTCTGTTTCACATGCTGTATCTCTAAGTTACCAATTCTGTCAATTTTTTTTATTAAGTATGTTTCATTTGAATGTCCTCCTTTCTATCTGTATTGTCACTGATTTACCATAGGTACTCATCACCCCTCGTTAACACTGCTTTCAAAAGTATTTTAAATAGTTGCCTTTTTCAAAGTCTTATCTTTGTAGAAGAACTAGACTTATCTTTTGCTCTTCATGGAAGAACTAGACTTATCTGGTTACATGCAAACCCACTTATTTAAAATCCATCCATGAATCCCTTTTGCCTAAAGGATGATGTCCAAGCTCCTCCATTTGATGTAAAAGATGTTTCGAAATCTAGTATTTTCTTATAGCTCCATCCTCCACTAACCTTTGTACAATCAATGCATTTTGTTCCCTATAATTTTTCTCATATTTCCTATTATGATGTATTAGTGTTTTCCAGAAGAACCAATAGAATACATAATCTCACATTTTCTATTGCTTATAATTTTATTTTAGTTTTCTTTCTTCTCTCACTAGCCAACAAGCTTCTTAAAAAACCTAGATTCTTTTACTCTTTTCTTCCCTGTAACATTATTCAGGTAATAATAGGCATGCTATAAATAAATGTTACATAAAAAAGAAAAAAAAATCTCATCAAAATATTGAGGAAGTCTAAAATTCCACCCACAATAGTGGCTTTTCCCTAATGCTCTGTCACTCTCACTTTATATTTGTGATTTCCTTTTGTTAAATAATATTGAACTAATGTATTTTCTATTTTCTAAATCTTTACATATGCTATATTTATTATTTGACTTTAGAAGAACAATTCCTTCTTTATATTTTGAATTTTTGTCTATACATTTCTTAGTGTGATGGCTAATTTTATGTGTCAGTTTGACTTGGCTAAGGGACATACAGATAGCTGGTAAAACATTTCTGGGTATGCCTGCGAGGGTGCTTCTAGAAGAGGTTAGCTTTGGAACTTACTAGTTCCAGAGTGGAAAAGATGGGCCCTTACGAATGTGGGCAAACATCAGTCAATCTATTGAGTGCCCAAACAGAATAAAAAGTCAGAGAAGGGGTAATTCATTCTGTCTGCTTGAGCTGAGATATCGCCTTCTGACTTCAGTGCTCCTGGTTTCTTGGCTTTTTGACTCAGACCTGGAGGGACTTATACTACTGGCCCAGAGTCTCAGGCCTTTGGAGCTTAAACTGAACTATACCACTGGTTTTCCCAATTTTCCAACTGGCAGATCTCTGTGCTGTGGAACTTCTGGTCCTCCATAACCATGTAAGCCAGTTCCTCTATTACATCTTCTCTTACTATATATATATATATACATATATATATATATATATATATATATATATATATATGTCCTATTGATGCTGTTGTCTGGAGAGCCCTAATATACATAAGTTTAGATTAGTTGTGATTCATGGATTTAGACATGGAAAATAATCTAGACTTTATGGTTAATGGTGATCTCCTAAACAGAACTTTGGAATTCTCTGATCATACTTTTTAAAGTTACTACCTTGGATGAAGTGCTGTGTCAATAGCTGACCTCACTCATCACAAGTGACTATTTTAGCTAAACCTCAGAGTCCAGTGGTTCATTTTTTCTTGCTTTACATGATTAACATCTGCATATTCAATATTAGATTCTTTCTGTCATTATGAAGATCAGAACACTGAAGACAAAATAATGATAGTTTTTTTTTAAAAGGAAACTCTTGTCAGAGAATGTCACCACAGAGTATTTTATAGATTTGGGTTCTGTGTAGTTCTACTATAAAGGGCCATCCATATACTAAACAAGGCTTGACAAGCCACATAGCGTCTTTGCCATGAATTCTCTTTCTTTTTTGTTTTCTACAACACTTTAAAATATAAACACCATTCTTAGCTCATGGACCATGCAAACATAGGCCTCTGCCAGATTTAATCTTTAACATGAAGTTCTTATGTAATTAGATAACTCCCTAACAGATACACAATGACAGGATACCTGTCCTCATCCTTTAAAGTATAATGATCTGTTTATTCATTCCTATAGAAAGCAACCTTTTGTTTGGCTATAGAAACAATAGAAAAAATTAAATAATATTATTTAGAAAAACTGAAATAAAAGTGGCATAACTAAGATAGAAGTTTATTTCCTGTAGGTAATTTTATAGAGGGATAAAATTCGAGTCTGATCCACAAATTCCTTAAGGATTCAGGCTCTTTCAGGCTTAGAAGCCCACTCTTTATTCTCTTGGTTCTAGTTAAAGTCTATGTTTAAGGTCGGGTGAAAGAGAAACAAGATAGAAAAGTGGCAGCATCAAGTCTATATAAAGAAATCGTGAAGAAAGCTTCTGTGAGAACTTAGGTTCATATTCTTTTAGGCTGAATTTATTCATGTGGGCATATCTAGCTGCAAGGAAAGTTCATCAACCTGCTCTCTTTATACTATTAATAGGTGGTAATTTTCGTAGGCGGATTTTCAATTTCTATGATAGAAGTGGAGAACAGGTTTTAGGGGATATCTACAAGATCCTGCCATAATTCTTTTTTTATTTAAATATGGAAGCCCAATTATTGTATGTTAACGTTTATTTCCATGACAAAGCATAACAGATGCAGAAATATTATTAATATTTTTATAGTTTTATTCAGATAGCAATATATTTTAATATTTTCACTAAATTATCTAAAGAAATATTTGCTAGTCTATTAAAATAGCTTATACCAAAACTAGATTTTTCTGAGAAATATCTATATATCACAAGTATAACTAATAAATATATATAATTTGCTCATAATGTACTCATCTTAGAACATAAATAACTTTAGTAATGAGTATTAATGTACCTCATTCTGCCAAATATTTTTAACTTTCTGATTTCTCATATTCTGACATGATATATGGAGAGCTATTAAGAATAAAAATATATGAAAAGAATGTTTTAAAATAATTCTGTGTTTTAAAGAAGAATTCATTAAGATACATTACCCCAGAATAGTCTCCCAAGAAACTACCTTTACTATGTATTACTTCAACTACAACAACAAAAAGGTAGCAAGAATATAAATTTCCACATAGTTGTAGCTTCTTCATCTGCATTTTTAACTAAGGGAAGTCTGGGATTATGAAGGAGATGTTGGGATGTGAATCATGTGATATCTAATTTACCCTTCTAGTTTTACCTATATACAATGTTTAGGTTTTCCATATCTTACATTTTCCACTGAGAAAGAAAAGAAAATATTTATAATATTTATTCCTATCTTACCTGGGAAATACTATGAATTATACACATACCCATGTGAATTTTTGTGTGATCAAAATTAAAATATAACAAAGAATAAAATAAAGGGATTGAAAATATTAACTTTGAAAACATATGATCTTTTTCATAAGCTCATAAACAGATGGAAATTATTCTAGGATTATTTCACTAAAATAATAATTTTAATAATAAAATTCATACATTATATGAAGAATTTCTACAGTGATTATTTCCAGCTATGTTATTTGAATATTTCTTTCTTTGACAACATAAGTATAACTGGTATAGAAATTTTTTTTCTACTATTTCTATGTATTTACTAAACTACTACATTATACTGGGTTTGATTTCAATGTATTTGAAATAAATTACATAAAATAACATTTTCACCAAAATTATATCTACTGACAATTATGTATATATAAACTGATCTATTTTGAGGTCATTACATATGATTATTTTATTTTATTTTTCACTTTTATTTTGATCTCAGCAGGTACATGTGCAGATTTGTTATAACAGTATATTGTGTGATAGCAAAGACATGGAATCAACCTAAATGCCCATCAATGACAGAAGGAAAGTGTGGTACATACGTATACACCATGGAATACTATGCAGTCACAAAAAGAACGAGATCATGTCTTGTTCAGGAACATAGTTGAAGCTGGAGTTCTTTATCCTCAGCAAACTAATGCTGGAAGAGAAAAACAAATACTGCATGCTCTCACTTATAAGTGGGAGCTAAATGATGAGAACTCATGAACATAAAGAGGGGAACAACAGACACTGGGCCATACTTGAGCGTAGAGGGTGAAAGCAGGGAGAGGATCAGATAAAATAACTACTGGCTACTAGGCTTAGTACCTGGGTGATGAAATAATCTGTAAAACAAACCCTGTGCTTCAGTTTACCTATATAACAAACCTGCACATTGTGTGATGCTGAGGTTTGGGGTTTGGTTGAACTTGTCACCCAGGTAATGAACATAGTATCCAATAGGTAGATTTCTAACACTTGTCCCCTGCTTTTCCTTCCCACCCTTTATAGTCCTCAGTGTCTATTGTTCCCACTTTTACGTCCATTTTTGCCCAATGTTCAGCTTCCACTTATAAGTGAGAACATGTGGTATTTGCTTTTCTGTTTCTGGGTTAATTTGCTTAGAATAATGGCCTAGAGCCACATTCATGTGGCTGCAAAGGACATGATTTTGTTCTTTTTTATGGCTGCAGATTATTCCATAGTGCATATATACCATATTTTCTGTATCCAATCCACTGTTGATAGACACCTAGGTTGATTCCACGTCTTTGCTATTGTGAATAGTGCTGCAGTGAACGTATGAGTCCACGTGTCCTTTTTGGTAGAACAATCTATTTGCCTTTGTGTATATACCCAGGAATGGTGATGGCAGTGGTGGCCTGTCTGAAGTGGCTGCTGCCATGACACTGGCTGCAGTGAGAGGCATGGCCAGGACTATGAGCTCAACCAAGCCGGTGGGAGTTGGGAATAGGAGGCAGCCCCGCCCCCTTCCAAGGAGGGGCTGGAGTCCCGCCCTCCCAGGTGCAGCAGCAGTCTCCCAGCGTGGCTGCAGACCCGGGCATCCCTGCACTCTCAGGGACCCAGGAAGTGCCCCGCAGGCTCAGAAGTGCCTGCTCCCACTGCCTGGCCTTTCCCTGCTCCAGGCACCTGCTTGCATTTCAGTGCAAAGTTGAGGCTGAGCCCAGGCACTGTCGTGACCCAGGAGGGTGTGTGCCCACTCCGGGCAGCGCCGACATGCCAGCCCGCTACCCCTTCGGCGCCCTCCAGCTGCAGCCTTGCAAGGAGCCGGCACCTGTGCAGGCACCTGGAGCTTCCTACCCTCCTGCAGCAGCCAGCGTGTCTGGCTGTGCACAGTGGCTGGACCCTGCGCTCGCTTGCCCACACATCCCTTGCCACTCCACACTTGACTTGCACTTGGTAGGTGTGGAATCCAGGCTGGTAGCGCAAGCTGAGCATAGCCTGCTGGACCGAGTGGGTGAAATGAGCATAGCGGGCGCGAGCAATACTCAGTCAGAAGGTGCTGCTGGCCACAGAGGTTTCCGGCTGGTGAACAGACACCCCAAGGATCCTGTGACAATGGGAGTGCTGGGATGACTGGTCACTCTATTTTTAGTTACTTGAGGAAGCTGCTTTCCACAGTGGCTGAACTAATTTACATTCCCACCAACAGTATATAAGCATTTTCTTTTCTCCAAACCCTTGCCAGCATCTGTTATTATTTGACTTTTTAATAATAGCCATTCTGATTGGTGTGAGATGTTACCTTGTGGTTTTGCTTTGAATTTCTCTGATGATTTGTGATGTTGTGCATTTTTTCATAAAATGCGATTATTTTAAAGGCATATACAAAGTCAGCCCTATGCAGAGGCTACTTTCCTTTGATGTAAGTACTTTTATTTCAGGAGCAAATTAATAAGTACTAATCTCACATATTTTTAGAAATTTAAGAGTTCAGGAGAGAGAAGAATGATAAGTACTGTGTGAATATTTAGTTTAGCATGACAGACAAAACCAAAGCTTGTCAGTACCAAATAACATATGCCATAAAACCACTAATTTGTTTCATTTTGTGAATTCTTCATTAGATTCTATGTAGTTTTAAACTATTGAAAAGAAGGCTTCAAACTCAGCAAATGTATAGAAGATTCAAATAATCCATATATCTAAATAAAAACTAATATGCTTCCAAATATTTCTGAAAAATGGTAAAGGAACAGGAGAAAGAGAATGAAACCTAGCAAATCAATTTGCCTGAAATATTAGTTACTTATGTCATGATTATTCTATCATAGTTGTTTCTGCCAACTACAAACACATTGATATGGTTTGGCTGTGTCCCCACCGAAATCTCATCTTGAACTGTAGCTCCCATAATTCTCACATGTCGTGGGAGGGACCTGGTGTAAGGTAATTGAATCATGAAGATGGGTCTTTCCCATGCTGTTCTTGTGATAGTGAATAAGTCTCATGAGATCTAATGGTTTTATAAAGGGGAGTTCCCCTGCATGTGCTCTCTTGCCTGCCGCCATGTAAGATGTGACTTTGTTTCTCCTTCACCTTCTATCATGATTGTGAGGCCTCCCCACCCATGTGGAAATGTGAGTCAATTAAACCTCTGTCCTCATAAATTTCCCTGTCATGGGTATGTCTTTATTAACAGCATGAGAACAGACTAATATGTCTTCATAGGATGTGGTGTATAGGTTATTACAGTAGTTATAACAACTTTTGAAGTAAGATCTTGAATTCAGCATTTAAAAGTACTAATGTAGTTATTCCCCTGTAGAATTCTCATAAATACATGAATCAATATTATTTTATATTTTATATTTTTAAAATAAGAGGTCACACTTTTTATGTAATGAAGTATATTATTTTAACATTATGAGGGTAATACAAACTAGTTTAAAATAATTTCTACAATGCAAACAATTATTATTTATAAAACTGCATACATATATTACAATATAATAAGGTTTCATACAATTAACATCCAAAAAAAAAAAGAAATAATATTAATTGGCTGTGTTCGTTGGCCACAAACAAGTATTCATTCTCATTTCATACCAGAGGAATGCAAGTAATTGCAATTTAAGCTAAATGAAGTCATTTACATACATTTTACTCTCTTACTGGTGCTTTTGGGGTTCAAATTATAATTCTTTCTGGTATCAAATAGCTGATATTTATGTAATGCTCTGCTTTTCATCAAGTATTTGGTAAACATAATATTCCATTAACAAATACAATATTTTTAAATAAAATTATTGCTTCAGGGTCTGATTTGACACACTATTCAAAGCCATTATGAAATACGCTGCTCTGTGGGGGTTCTTTTAACTGCAAGTCGTATTTGCTAATAGTTTTTTTTTTTTTTTTACTAAATACTTTCACAAGATTTATAGCAGAAATGATAGCAGTAAATGTTCAACTGTATTGTATTAGTAGTAGAAGTTTTGTTGAGCTCATGGCATCCTTTGATTAACTACCATTGGAGACATATTTTGGAACAGGGCTGTGTCATGGCTCTATGTCACCATGTTTCATGGTGGGCCTTTAGGGAGGGTAAGTGTGTAAACATTCACTTAACAACAGATGTATGGACAAGTTGTGAAAGTAATGACTAATTGACTGCCATTCGGGATTTATTTGGAAATCTTTTGACTTCAGCTCCACCACACTTAATGATGAATGAAGTCTCTTTCTCTAATAGAGGGAAACAGCAAGCTTGGGCCCAGAGCAGGCACTCTGAGATGTGACTACAAGTCATAGTGTTTCAGTCCATGGATATGAACAAATAGAAACAATGAATCTAAGGTTTCCCACTTTTTTTATATTGAAAATAACAAATATAAGGTTTCCCACTTTTTTGATATTGAAAATAACAAATTAGTTATATAAAACACAGTAACTGATTTCTTTGCATACTTAAAATAATTCAAATGGAAGCAAATATGGTTGAATTTTAAACATTCTAATTCTATAGTGCTTATTATTGGTTGTAGAAAGAAAGTATAATTTCTGTTTTCTGTGGGGCGTAGTCTATATTTTATTATTTCTGCTAAAGTGTAGAATGGCCAAATGTACAAGTCTTCTTGTTAATTTTCATGGTTTTACTATAAAGGACTATATGTGACTACAATTAATTTTCTTAGTAACCATATTTATTCCATCAAGAAGCAATTTCCTTTCTCTTACATCATGGTTACCTCTAATTTGTTGAAAGAAGATGCAGAACAATTGGAGAGAAGACGAAAGAATATTAAGCAGGTATTATTGGGATTAGTAATTGGAACTTTTTATTTTTCTCAAAAAATAAAATCTATTTATTTATTTATTTATTTAGACTTTGCTTCTTTAAATATAAAGCTATCACAGAGTACCAAACTTTTAGTTTATGTTTAACGTTATAAGGACTCCATCTTATTAGATTCAGGTAAAAATGTCGGTAATTGGGAATAAATGGAGCTGATACCATAAAAGATTTAAAAGCTTTCTTTATGGTCTTATCCTTATCCATTGCTCTAGATTCCTGAATATATTTTGGATCCAAATACATGAAAAAATGCAATTTTCAAACATTTGACTGCTTAAGTGTATTATATCACCTCCATGACTTGAGTGAGTCTGTCATTCAGGAATATAAGTAGGTAAGAGGAAGAATATTCCAGTACTTACTGGGCTAAATAAAGAATATTGGTTTATAATCTGCTCTCCATTCACTCCTTCTGTTTCATTAACTTAAAGAATTCAGTAGTACGTTTTCCAACAGCCACATTTTGTAACTCCCCACAATCATCCTCCTGCTATTTGTGGCTTCACGTACATCCCCCATTTGTTCTTCACCAGTGTCACATAGGCCTACCTAGTCGTATTTGGGCAAAAGTAAAGCTAGTGAAAATTTAGCATATTTAATCATAGATCTTAGACTAACACAAAGGTGGGGTAATGATAGAAGATTGATATAAAATGAAATATGCACTGACAAAAAATAGCAAGGTCATCAATTTCCTGTAAGAATTAGGTGGGAGGAAAAAAATATTTGCGAGGTGACAGACTGAACAGAGGTAGCCTGGGTAATATAAAGGTGGACAAAAGGAAATTTTAAAAAGCATTAATGTTAAGAACTTATTATAGAACATGAAGTCTTATCTTACTTGCAAGCTGAGACAATAGGCTTCCAGTTTCATACACACTGGCACGAGACTCCTGAGTGAGAGACAGGCATTATTATGGCACAGCAGGCAAGGTGAGCTTCTTGTTCCTGTCACTTCCCTTTCCCAGGTCCCAAGGGGGTAATGTTGAGCAGTACACAAGTGGATGCTGCACATATATATAGTTGGTTCATGTAACAGCTGAAAACCCTTGAGTTTAGAAAATTTCCATCTTTTAATGTGGGCTGGTAGAAAACTTGCCCAAATTTTCACATGGATGAAGACATTATCTTTAATATCCTAGTCTGGAAACAAACATGCATTCTGCCCTGGAGGAAGCCACAATCTCAATCTTTCAAGGCTGTCTGCATACAAATGTCCCAAACTTATAGTTTAGAACTATAGCTGATAGAAGACATTTAGAAACACCATGGAGGATTCCTTCTCAAGAGTTAGGAGAAGAGTAACTAATAGAGAAGAATTATAAATCTTCCAAAATACAAAAAAGGACAAAATCTGAAAAATTAAATAAAGAAAGACAACTATGTGAAAAATACTGAGTAAATATAACACAAAATGATAGTGAAAGGAGACAGACAAATTCCTAAGCAGACAAGGATGGGTCCCTGGTGAAACCCGACCTTCAAGCCAAAGACAGCCCGAAGCCTGAAAACCAAACTGCCAGTTCTGGATAGATTCCATGACTGGAGTGAAAACTTCCTCAATGCTATTTAACCAATTAAATGGTACTTTTTCCGAGACCACTCATAGAAGAATCAGCACACACTTGCCCATTCAGAGCCCATAAAAACACCGGACTCAGCCACATAGAGGGCTTAGGTCCCCTTTCTTCTGAGAGCTTTCCTTCTGTCACTCAATAAAATTCTTCTCTGCCCTACTCACTCTTTGATGTGTGCATACCTGATTCCTCTTGGTCCCAAGACAAGAACACAGAACTTGCTGAGCTGTGGGCAGCAAGAATAAGCAGGGGCAAGCTGTAACATGCCCCTGCTTGCTGAACTGTGGGCAGTTGAAAAGAGAGAGAGCTGTAACATTTCCTGGGGGCTCAGATCTTGGAACTTCCCATGCATAAGCTATAACACCACTTAGGACTCCACAGTTTCTGGCATCTCTGAGTTTTCAGGCACCACCACATTCCCCTTGTCTTGTCTAGACACTGGTGCCCAATACAGAAGTCACTTGTAGCACTGCCAGTCCAGCTGTGGGCTGAGTGCAGAGCTGTGGTGGGTGCAGGATCCATACTGACAGCATAAGCCAAGCGCAGCCTGCTAGGCTGAGTGGGTGAAGCAAGCTCCATGGGCCCCAGCAAGGCCCTGGGCAGAGGTCACAGTGGCTGCAGAGATTTCTGGCTGGTGAAGCAGCATTGAAGGAATCCTGTAACTCTGTAATCCCCGCTCCCACTTGCCGAGCAACAGGGGAGAAAAAGCCTCTGGGCATCATTCCCTCCCACTTGCCAAACTACGAAAGCTGCAACAAAAATATATTTAAAATAAAATGATAACAATTATGATACCAAACATATACATTATACGATTAAATGTAAATAAGATTATTCCTCTTTAAAAGACAGGTAGTTTTAGGATGGCTTGCAAAAAATATTCCTTCTCTGTGTTTTACACAAGATGTGTACCTAAAAGAAAGAGATAACACAATAAAGAGTAGATAAAGGTATATCAGGCAAATAGAAGCAAAAGAGATATGGAGATTAATATCTGAAAAGGTAAAATTCACATGAAAAATCAACAAGAGAAAAGATACTTTCTAATATCTTAAAATACAATTTCCATAATAAAGATATAACAGTTATAAAAACCTACCACCAAATAAGACAGCAACTGTCTTCAAAAAACACTGTCAACAGGAAGACAAGAATAAGTTAACAAAAGCACAATGAAAATAGGTGACTTGAACATATCACTCATGACCTAAGCTAAGTCAAATGATTAAAATATAAGAACTTACAATGGGTGAATGCTGTAACAAATAAGGTTAATTCTATGGACATATAGTGAACTTTAAATCTAGATAATAATATAGCTTCTTATCAAATGCACATGGATAATTCAAAAGACATAGTGGTATAGGGATACAGTAATTATTTTATTTAGGTTTATAAATTAAAATAAAATATTTGCATTAAAATGAAACATCTAAGAACCAATTTATGACCTAACTTTCTAACAAATCATAATAAAGCTCCCTCTGCCTGTCAGGCAACCTGTCAGGCAATATCCTAGGCTCTGCTATAGACACATTACAAAGTTCATGTACTTTTCTGTTCTACTTTATATAACCTGGTATCTGTGTGTTATTTCAGTTTTAGCCTTTCACATTCATTGACAGAATAATTGTATGTAATTTTTATTCAATTGCTAGACCCCATATATAATATTAAAACACACATACTCGTACAGACCAAAACATCCATATAAAGTTCTATTTTAAAAACTATCTCCATTTATAACAGCTGAAACAAAAAAACTAAAAATTAACTTGCTGAAGGATTGCTTTATATATTGGTATAATTGCAAATAACCTCAGAAAAATTGTGGATATGAGACATAAGATAAAAAATATTAAGGTAAAATGTGGGCTAAAAATGAAATAAATGGCTGAATAAATAAAAGAAAATGAAAGCACTGTTTATTGTGCATAAAAGAGAAGAATGAGAAGGTAATGAATGTTGATCACCAGTTCTTCTGGTTCCTGTGTGTTGCCTTCTTTAATGCATCTAAATGTCTTTTTATGCTTTTGTGATTTTAATTTCATTTCTATGCAGTATTGCTGAAGCAGAAGATATATCAATATCAGTGAACTATTAGTGTGCCTCTTTTGAATTATATTTTTTCATCAGTTATTTTCTAAATAGGAACAAACTGAGTGTTTTGAATGTTCCAAAAGAAATCTTAGGAATTACCACGAAGCTGTACTTATGCAGACTTTCAAAATAAAGAACCAAGAATATTATAATTTAATTAAATAAACATCTTTTCTATTCAAATAATTTATAGGATAAGGAACTAGCAAGGCAAAAAGCAATTGAAAGACATTCAGAAATAAAGCTATCTATATTCATAAGGGTTTTATGTATTTGGGAGAGAAGAAAATACTTTGCCTCCTAATTTATAGATTATTAGAAAAAAAGATAAAACAAAAAGCGGTATATTCAATTAGTCTAATAAAATATTGAAATAAAAGTTCAAATAGATATAACCTTATGTAACACATACTAAATTCATAGAAAATAAGACAGAGCACTGAAACTTAATCACTAGACTACCAGGGAACATCAGTTGACAGAAAATAAAAATGAAGCATGTTACCTCTTTATCACTAGAGTTTTAGCTTTGATTTTTCATTTTAAATAACACAGAATAGCATTTTACCTATTGACATAAGCATGTGCATCTTGTACTTTTATTCTTTCTCTGTATTCATATATTTTATGCAATAGAAATATCAAAATATGTAATTCTATAAAATAGGAAATAATGTCATAGTCACTTGAAATTTGATTATGAAATATACAGATGTTTGGAGATCTAGTTTATATATATGTTCCATCCATTACCAGTAGATTGATTCAAATTACATGGCTTACCTCTCCCATCATAGCTTATGCCCTTTTGTGCTTATCCTGTGTCCTTGGTTTGAAGACTACTGACCTTCATTTGAAATATCACACAGAAAAAAGGTCAATATACAGATAAGTTGATTTTGTCTAGAAACATTTTCATTGTATTCCCTTCTGAGTATATACTGCAAAAGACATGTGCTTTGGGGAAAGTAGACAGGTCATATGTATACAAAAAAAATTCTGTATGTGTGTAGTGGGTTATTTTTACGTATGGAATCCTACTTAGAAGTTCGTTATGTGTTTGTCAGTCCATCCCCATTAAATTCATGTCTTCTCTTCCCTTTATATTACATTTGTCTTAACAAAGGAAGATAATTGTGAACTATATCTTATATTCACAGAATGAAAGCTGGACAGAAAACTCTAGCACTCATTAACATTGGTCACCTAATCTGTAGGCTCCTGACTGTCCATATCACCCAATACATTTGAGAGAACAAAATAAAACTTCTAACAAATCATCAAAACCTTTCTGATTTGTTCATGAGTGGGCAATCAGGTGTGCTGATGAAATTTATATATATGATAGATTATTATATGTTTTATTTATGCTTTTACTATTTTGTTGTTTATTTTCTTAGCTTTTTAAAAAACAATGCTAATCATCAATAAGAATGGGGCCCCAGACAATTATTATTATCTATATTTCACTGATATTTAAATGAGAGTGAACATACATGTAACTTAGTCCAGTATCTTAAGAACAGGATAATTATCTGAATTATCTATTAGTATGAATCTTTCTTAGTAAAATACATCAGATTGTATCAAGTCATAATGGAATAGTGCTGTTTCTTATTCTCTAGCCAAATCTTCTCCTCCCATTCTCCAAACAAGTGTTTAATATCCAGTCACTCAATATGATGCAATTATTATGTCTAAACCTTAACAAGGGTCATAATATATGAATTTAAGAGCTAGAATACATCTAAAAAAGAAAATTAATTTTTACATGTTGTTCATATTAAATGCCTCTATTTCAGAGTTAATATACAAATTGTAGATTATTTTACCCATATAGCCAAGCTGTTCTATTTGGGGCAAAAAATACTTAAAATTATGTATGCCATCCTCTGAAAATTTAAACAAATATTTTACAATAGCTCATAAACATTTTTGACTATGTTAAATATGGTTTTGGTAGGAAAAATGTTCTGTAGCAACATGCTATGGAAGTGTCACCCTCATTATCTAAAGAAAGATGATGGCTAGGGATGATTAGCATCATCCCTAAACTATTAACTTTTTTTTTTTTTTTTTTAGGAGAAAAGGGCACTTCAGGAAAGCAATCTAAACTAGAAGTATTTTAAAATGTAGCTCCTTGGATTTTAAGACCAAAGTTTTCCATATAGCTTATCTAAAATAGGATGTAGTACTCTGTACTTTTAAAAACATCCATGTGATACTAACAAAAATGGTTTGTGAATTGTTTTGTAAAGCATTATAAATGATTTTTTTTTCAACTTTTTTTTCAGTTTGGGAAGGTACCTGGGTTGTCAAAACTCAGACTTCTAATGTTCAATGCTATTAGTGATAGCAGCAGGAAGCAGACAAATCCTAGGCAGATATGGGGGATCTCAGGTGAAACCCCACCTTCAAGCCAGAGAAGGTTTAAAGCCTGAAAGCCAAGCTGCAAGTCAAATTCATGGACTGGATTGAGAACTTGTCTTCCTGTTTGGTGCTCTTTCCTCTTATTGATCCCCACACTTCACCTATTTTACATATACCTACCCTTCCCTAATTGGCTTTTTACATTGTCATGCCCACCTTTGTGTGGTGACTTTGTTCTAACCTGTTTTGCATACTCAAAAACCAATCAGCACGCACTCCCCATTCTGAGCCCGTAAAAGCCCCAAACCCAGCCGTATTGGGAGAGAAACTACCAGACTATGGGTGGGGAACCACCTTCAAGATGAGAGATGGTTTGTCACTCAATAACATTCTTCTCAGCTCTTCTCACCCTTTGACTGTCAGCATATCTTCATTCTTCTTGGATGCAGGACAAGAGCTCAGGGCCTAGCAAACGTGGGTACAGAGAAGGCTAAAACACCATGGCCCTCTGCCCTCCGCTGGTTGGGGGCAACCACCCCGTGAGATGGAAGCAGCAGTGGGTCCAAGCTAGCCCTGGAGCCACGGGCTGGAGAGGGCAAGGGGCTGACAAAGCTGTTAATGTGCCACTGTCCTTGGGGGTGTAAATGACAAGTCTAAAAAAGCTTATTAGCATGCTGCTAACACCTGCTCTGGGGCTTCAGGGCCATAGGCACCCCTGCCTGGGTGTCACCTTGTTCCCCTTGTCTGAACACTGGAGTCTACCATGGGAGTGGCTTGCGACACGCCTGGTCCAGCTGCAAGCACCACATGGAGTCTGCTTCTGTGCTTCTATGTTGCTTGGAACAGGCTGGAATGGCTCAAGGCTTGGAATGGCTGGCTGGACCCTGCACTCGCTCACTCACATACCCACTCCCACTAGGGGCTGAGTACACAGTCACAGCAGACACAGGATCCAAGCCAGAGCTCAGGCCAGATATGGCCCAGTGAGCCTAGTGGACAGAGTGTCCCCTGCAGTGAACCTGGGCCTGAACAAGGCTTGGACCAGGGCATTGCCAGCTGGGGGTCTCCAGCTGACAAGTGACTGAGAAAAATCCTGCATCATTATTTATAGCTGAAGGTTGTAGGTGGAGAGAAGGAGGGTAACTGATTAAGTGTCCTTCATTCTATGGTATCAAGTTACATCTTCCCTCATTTGCTGCTGACACCAATATTTGCCATTCAAAAATGCATAAATATGTTAATTAATGCTCTGAGCAAATCAAAGTCAAAATTCTGTCCTTTTAAGTTGGTTAGCATAGGTGAGATACACTGGAACTTTCAAAAAAGAGTTTAAACATATCAGAAGACTAAGAAAAAGAAATAAAATATGTATAATTTAAAGTCTGTCCTGTGAAGTACAAATTTTCAGTCAAATCTCAGTTATCTTTTATTTTAGAGATCACAAATTTATTTCTCTTTTCCCTCTGGACCATCACATCTCAAAAAGACTTCTAATTTTAGATGTGCCAATGAAAAATACCCAAGTTTCAGATTATATTTTGTCTCCTTCACACAGATCTCTGAATTTATTTTGCTGTCCTTTGAATACAAGTTCACCATAATGCGTAATATTGTAGTATCTACTTAATAAAGGGACACCCATATTCTGTAATAGGGTATATATTAGGGTATAAAATTATTTACTGTGCTTTAATTCCCTCTTTTTATAATAAGCCAAGTAAGTCCCAGAGAGGTTAAGTAGCTTGCATAAACTATTAACGGGGATTTAATTACAAAGCCTATCTCATATCTTTATTGTGTATATTAAATTTAGTAAAGACTTTTGTAATCAATAAAATGCCTTATTAATATAATATTAACATATAGTTATATATAAATATGCTGCATAGTGTTATATATAATTTATAATAGACAACATATAATAATGTTTTACTGTTATTTGTTAGCATGAAATCTAACTTCTTTAATATTTATCATTTGGAATGAGGATTAGAAAGAATTCTCACATGTGAATTGACAGAATTTCAATTTATATTCCTTTTATTCCCTACTGTTTGCTTCATACCTCTGCACTGGAATTTTTGCTAGTGTTTGGAGAGTTTCCTTGGTAGGAATTTTGAGGATAGAATACCATCTGATAATTTTAAACAATAACGTTAAAAAGAATACATTGTCGGCCAGTCACAGTGGCTCACGCCTGTAATCCCAGCACTTTGGGAGGCCGAGGAGGGTGGATCAAAAGGTCAGGATTCAAGACCAGCCTGGCCAAGATGGTGAAACCCCATCTCTACTAAAAATACAAAAATTAGCCAGGCATGGTGGTGGGTGCCTGTAATCCCAGCTACTCAGGAGGCTGAGGCTACAATGAGCTGAGATTACACCACTGCACTCCAGCCTGAGTGACAGACAGACTCCATCTCAAAATAAATAAATAAATAAAATAATTAATAATAATAATACATTGTCTTAGGGTTTAAAATGATATAAAAATCAAAATCAGTAGAGAATATATTAGTCTAGGGTTGGTTCTTATATGGATCAGAACACTAGCACGTGAATTCAGTATCCTTTCCTTAAGATTTTTGCTTATATTATTTAAAGTACTCAAAGAGAATTAATTCAAATAGAATACACATTTTTAATCTAACATTCAAAGGACTACTTTCTTTCCTTAAACAACAAATTACTCCGAAGGGGAAACTTGGAATACTAAAAAAATCACAAAAATTAAAATTCCTTTTTTTTTTTTTTTTGAGATGAAGTCTTGCTCTGTCGCCCAGGATGAAGTATGGTAGCGCAATCTTAGCTCACTGTAGCCTCAGCCTCCTGAGTAGCTGGGACTACAGGTGTGTACCACCATGCCCAGCTAATTTTTGCATTTTTAGTAAAGACGGGATTTCACCACGTTGGCCAGGCTGGTCTTAAACTCTTGACCTCAAGTGATCTGCCCCCAATCAGCCTCCAAAAATGCTAGGATTACAGGTGTAAGCCACTGTGCCTGGCCTAAAATTCTACAAATATACAAAATAGGCTTCTCTATATTCAAGTCTTTCTTTGGCCATAATAAGCACTTTCCCGGTTTCCTTGGGAGTTTTTCTTCTCAATTTTGCTCTATTTAACTAGGGAAATGTCTTGAAAGTATTATAGATATTGACTTGCCTCTGTTCATATAATTTTTTGAGTACTCACAAGAAGATACATTAAATAAATTACCCATCTTGGTGATTTTTCTATATTAAGAAAAAGGAATTGTCTAGATGGTAGAAACCCAGCCACACCTATCTATGCCACTTTTAGAAAGATCATTAGGCAATTTATTTTCAGATTTCATGTCCCATAATTATCGAGGAGGTAGTCTCACCTAGCTTGGGATCTTCAGTTACCTTTTTTTTTTCTCCTGGGAATAATTATTGTACCTATGCTACAATATTTCAGGACTACTTGACTGTAGCGTCAGACCAGATTTTTTTAAACTGCTAAATTTTCTTTTTTCTTGGAAAAACACACAATACTTCATTATTATATTTTTAAGTCTTTTGTAGTGATGTCTACTCTCATTCCTGATGACCATTTGTCTTCTTGTATTTTTTTAAACAGTTTAGCCAGAGGCTAAAGAATGATATCAATGGTTTCTGTCTGAATTCTCTGAAAGGCAAACATCAAAACAGAATTTTTTGTGCAAAGGATTTACTATGAAGATTCTCATGAAGGATAAAGGAAGAGGGAAAATTAGGAGAAAACCTTCAGACCACAGTGCAGTCTGACAGCTATGAAAAGAGAAAGGGAAGGAAGAATTGAGTGGGAGACCTTCAGGCCACAGCATAGTTCTGAGAAATCGTTGGCTGTGGCAATGGGTTTACCGGTAAGAAGTCCTTTCTGTGTTAGGCAGAAATAGGCCAGGACTGGTACCCTGGCCCTGCCTTGTCTTTGACAAAGAGCAGTTCCAGGTTACTGTTGCCTAAATGAATGCCAGTGCAGCTAATTCTATCAGTCAATTCTCCCCATCAGTTTGCCTTGAAAGAGATTTGAGAAAAATACTTCCATGGGTGCCACAGTCTACAGCTTGCCCCAAAGAGATACACTTACACATGAAACTTTAGGGATATCTCTTTCATAAATCCTGTGAGTCTCTCTTGCTGAGGGGAAACTGACAAAAGTGAGGTTAGTAGGATAAACTACCGTCCCTGTTGGTGCAGTTGGTCTTGAGGACACAACTGTTACCTTGTTCTCTTCTTCCTACTCTATTCTTATCTCTTCCCCCTCTTGCTATGACCTTGGAAGGTCTTTGTGGTTTCCTTATATCCCCATTTCTAAGTGGTCTGAGCCTTTGGTTGTCATACCCCTTCTCAAGCCAGTTGCTGCTAAGTTCCATTCACAATTGTAAACAGTTAAGGGAGAATCAAGAGATGCCCAAGTAAATAATTTGCATTCCATACTTCTAGTCCCTATTGCTTAAAACTAGAGCAATCTCCTGTTTATTAGGTTCAATTACCCTTTAAAGACAGTGGTTCTTTTCTCAGCTGTGGTTCCTTGGGAACTAGGAGTCCAAACAGTCTTGCAGTAGTAATATCTTCCAGCTCAATAAAACGTTTGCTGTATTTCTTGGAAAGAGTGTGCTTCTTTTGTGAATTTAAATCTCCAACCTGCCAGCTTGGGGACAAGAAGCAAACAATCCCCAGTGGGGACTAGAAATGATGGCAAATGGGGTTGCTTTTGTTTCAACCAGTTGATACATGATTCCAGGTTTTCTTCCCATTGGAGAAACAACATCATACTTAAGTCTCTGATTTAATGTATATACTGTATCTTGAAGAATGATTCCATATTTTTTCAGAGCATTGCTTCAAAATTATTCCTTCAACTTTGCCTCCATTGAGCCATTTCAGAGCTCAATGAGGCTGATTGATTGTTTCTCTATGGTTGATAAGTGATACAACCAATGGACCTCATGGTCATGGGCCTTCTTCCATAACTCTTTATCTATATCTTAGGTTCCTGGTTGGGTGCTATGTTATATGGGATTCCATGACTGTGAATTAGATATTTTGTAAACACTCATGTGTTTGTGCTTGCCAAGGTTCTGCAAACAGATAGGGAAACTCTCATTCCCTGAGTAAGTATTTTTCTTTATAAGGAAAAACATGAAACTTTAGGGAGATCTCTTTCATAAAGAGATCACTGAGCCTTATATGATGGGAAGGTCTTAATTTAGTCAATTTTCCAGCAATGGACTGACTCATTGTTCTCTTCGAGTAATAGATCCATATCCCAGGACTCAGGACTGTCCTTGTTAATGTCCATTTGAAAATTCCAAGGCAGCAGTAGCTAGATAGATCTTGATAAGTGAGAGTCTACATTGTTCAGTTTGTATGTAGCCTCCATCTTCACTACTGTGGCAGGTCCTTTCATGTGTGCGTTATACCATCCTGTGGTGGCTAATAGCAAAAGATGATTAAGGTCTGTTGTGAGAGTCGTTTTGGTCTCTCATTGTGTCTTCCTCAGAAGATGATTCCTGGTGGTGAATGTGTCTATCCATGTGCCTATAACCTACACTTCCTTGTTTTTAATCTTATGCTGTTCCTTCTAAACTTCAGACCAGTCGGCCAGGTTATTTGGGACAATATTGTGAATAAATATATGTCTTAGTTTGTCCCTGATATTATGACAAAATGCACTAGAATGGGTAACTTTTAGATACTAGAAAATGTATCTCTCAGAGTTTTGGAGGCTGTGAAGTCCAAGATGGAGGTTCCAGAAGATTCAGGAACCTGAATGGTGTTGGCCTGCTCTTTGCTTCAAGGATGGCACCTTGTTGCTGCATCCTCACACGGTAGAAGGAGTGAAAGGGACAAACAGCTCTCTTTTACCACTTTTATAAGATCACTAATCCCATTCATAAGTGCTCTGTCCTCATGACTTAATCAACTTCTAGAGACCGCATCTTTTAATACTATTCCATTGGCAATTAGGTTTCTATAGGTGAATTTTGGTGGAGACAAATTTAGAAAAAATCAATATTGTCAGTTCCAATGAAAACTTTGTGATCTTATTTTTAAATGAATATAAAAGAACAAACACATTAAGAGATGAGCAACTGCATATAAGAGACTAAGAATTTATTAATCTGCTCTAGCAATTATACAACTTTCAGTGCAGGAGCTACAATTGAGGCCACAGTTTAGTTGAGTTTTCAGTTTTCTCCAGTGTTCCCTAGGATTCACTGGGTTCTCTATAGGCAGGGAGTGTAATTGTAAGTATAAAAATAACAGGGACCACCAACATTTCATTCTTTATGTCTTTAATGGTATCACTAGTCCCTTCCATTCTTTCCATCTATATGATTTATTTTGGCCAAGAAGCGAATTGGAAACACTTCCATTTGTCATTTTCCCCTGATGCTAGCTTTTATCTAATAGGCAAAGGGCCCAATGTGGTTGTTATACTAATGACAATCAATCCCAATTATAAATTCTGGGACTGGGGAAATGGTGATTGGATGGTTTGCAAACTCAGTGGACCCATTACGTGTTACTCGTTATCCAAGAGTTCATTTATTACATGCCCCCCTGAGCCTACACTCTAAAAGTGGAACCATAGTGACACTTTTGGTCCTCTAATTTCAGTGCCAACTTATATGCTGTGTCTCTTAGCTCTCAAAATGTTTGGATATATCTTTCCCCAGTGTGTAATCACCTAAGTAAATGACCACCAGTAGCTTTGAAGAACAATTGGGGAAACAATATAGTGCACAATACACTATATATGCATAATACCTCTGGGACTACACAACCACTGCAGTCAATAGGTTCCAGCTCAGATAACTGACTAAAATCCAGAAACTCAGCAAGGCATGGTGACTTTTAACAGGTCAGCCACTGTCAATATCCTGCTCTGCCATTCTTTCCTTGTGATTGAAAATTTCAGCAAGTTCCCTTTTTTAGCTTCTTTGTACATTCCTTCATGTCAGGCAAAGAAACAGAAAATTGCCACATCATTCAAAATGAACCATTGCTTTTCCCTGATTTATAAGAGATACCTTAGCAGAAAGTATAACCCATTCCTCAGGGCTCCTGCCAGCATGTTAAATCTTGTGACCTGAGAAAGGACTCCCAGGTTATCAATGTCTTAATTATGTAGTCTTATTGTCTGGCTCCCTGGATCAATCACCCTCATACCCACTTCCAAGAATATATTGCAAATTCTTGCAGCCCTTTACCATGTAATTTCTTCCCTTTTCAGTCTCAGCATGACCTGGTGGGTTGTGACTGGATTTAATTATTGTTATTGGCAAGAAAGACAGGAAAGGAGATAGGTTTCCTGAGGAGCACCTATTTCTGTGTAGAAGAAGTGAAGGAGTGCTGGCTCTTTCTCCAGAGGAAAGGGCCATTTGTTTGATAGTCTGAGGATTCTGAGGGGTTTTAAAACAGAGCCAAAATTCTCACAAGAACCCATGTAGGTGTCCTCACCATATATTTCAGGGTATCCAAGTTTCCCAGTCAGGGCCCTGATAGTAACATAAAAGATCAGTCTAATCTTAGGACTTTACTGTCTTCGTAATCTTTGCATTTCTAACTATCAGATCTTCAGTTGTCTATTCAGCTGTGTCTTCTCTTCCTGCAGGAGATAAAAACTTCTTTATATGCTGCCAAAGAGACTCTGGCTTTCACACTTACTCTTTGCTTATTTGTTTAGTGCACTTTATTTTTCATTATCCTTCTGCAGTGTGTCAATTATGACCCTACTGTTCTTGCAAGAAATGTTTTTATTTAAAAAAATCACTACATCACCAAGGGCATTCCACTCCACCCATATATTTTCAAAATTGATATCCATGATATCCTCGGCAATTGGGTCATCAGTACCAGAGACTGTCAATACCGCATAAACATTTTGTATGAGGTCCTTCCTGACAGCTAGACAAAGAAAGAACCAGTTCCAAAATCTTATTTTATTTCCTGTTTTCCTGCAGGACTTAGGGTATTACCTGTGTTGGATGCAAAGGATTTATCGTGGGGAATTATTGCGAAGGATAAAAGGGTGAAGGAACAGGAGAAGATAAGATAAGGAAAGCCTTCTGACTGTGATGCAGTCTGAGATCTGTAAAATAGAGTGAAATAAAAGGATTGAGTTAGAAGATCCTCATACAATAGCACAGTTCTGAAAAAGTTTGAGCCAGTCTGATGATGAGTCATGAGCAAAAGTTTTCTGTTATATGACTACTTTGTTGGGCAGGGATGGGTCAGCACAAGTACCCATGCTGTACTCAGATACTGGCTGAAAGCAACCCAGGGAAAATGTTGCATAGTGAAAAATCAGTGAGGATCTAGAAGTCAAGTAGATCAGTCAAGTAGGCTATTTACAACAAACATGAGTGGCTTACTTTATAACTGCCATATTTTTCCCTTGAAAACACACACACCACACACACACACACACACACACACACACACACACACACACTTTGGCATCATTAATTTTCTTTATATTTTCTTAATTTCTATTTAATTGATTTTTAAAATAATTTATTATATCCTTCTACTTACTTTTCATTTAATTTTCACTTTTTAAAACAATTTTCTAAGCCTGGATCTCATAATGATTTGAGATTCTATTCTTTTCTAATAATATAAGTCTTTAAATTTATAAGCTTCCAAGAGCTGCTTTAGGCTCATCCTACAAATTTCAATATGCTTTATTTTTATCATTTGGCTTGAAATGTTTTCTACCTCCTCTTGTGATTTCTTATTTGATCCATGAATATTTTTAGAGGTGAGTTTTGATTTCCAAATATTTGGGGTTGTCTTGTTATTTTATTTGTTATTGACCTCTAACTTATAACAATTGTATTCAGATTATTTACTATATATTATTTTAATATTTTAAAATGTATTAAGACTGGTTATATGGCCCTTCATATGATGCATCATGCTGATATAGTATTTGCTCTTAAATAGTAAATATTATTCCCTTGTTAGATATAATGTTCTATAAATATCAGTGAAATCAAGGTACTTGATAATGTTGTTTAGATCTTATAAGTATTACCACTTTTATTCCTGTCGTTCTCATAAATTGCTTAGAGGGGGTTTTAAAATACTATTGAGAATTTTTCATTTCTCCCTTTAAATGTGTTAATTTTTTCTTCATGTATTTTGAAGCTCCATTATTAAAAATATAGACATTTATATTTGTTATCTGAGGAGATAATGCTTTATCTTCATAAACTAGTCTTCTTCATGTGTGGTAATACTTTTTGTTCTGGATCTATTTTATCCTATTTATTAGTCTGTTCTCACACTGCTATAAAGAACTCCCTGGTAATTTATGAAGAAAAGAGGTTTAATTAACTCAGTGTCACAGGCTGTACAGGAAGCGTGGCTGGGAGTCCTCAGGAAACATACAATCATGGCAGAAAGGTGAAGGGGAAGCAAGCACCTTCTTGACATGACAGAGCAGGAGAGAGAAAGAGCAAAGGAGGAAGTGCTACACACTGGTAAACAACCAGATTTTGTGAGAACTCACTATCACGAGAACAGCAGAGGGTAATCCACCCCCATGATCCAATCACCTCCCACCAGGCCCCACCTCCAACAGCCTGCTGGTGACCAGAAGCCTTACTGATAACACAGTCTATTAACATATGTTTTCTATGTTATTTGTATTATATACTGTATTCTTACAATAAAATGAGCTAGAGAAAAGAAAATGCTATCAATAGAAGATTAAGGATGAGAAAATATATTTGCTTGATTAAGTGGAAGTGGGTCAACATGAAGACCTTTATCCTCACTATTTTCCCAGTGACTAGACTGAGGAGAAGGAATAAGAAGAGGGGTAGGTCTTGCTGTCTCAGGGGCAGTAGAGGCTGAAAAGGTGGAGGAGGTAAAAGGAGAGGCAGAAGTGGAAGGTACACTTGGTATACATTTATGGAAATTCATCGTAATTTCTGTCCGACACCTTTGCTTTTGTATTTCTCTAAAAATGTTTCCATAGAGTATCGATTCTTCTTCCACAAACTGGTTCAGTTTCAGTACCTGCATTATAAAAGGGTCCATGTCATGAAAGAAGTTGAAAGCACTCTTGAATAATTGGAACTCTTCAGTCAGACTGTCTAATGCAATTTGTTTTCTAGCACCGCTTCTTCTATGTCTTCTCCTTCATCGTTTGGCACTGGTTTAGGAATGCTTATCTCCATGAAGTTTTCTGTTAATTCCTCTGGTGAGTGCCTATTAGCTCTTGAATTTCTCCAAGATCCACATGGTGAAACACCACTCCCCTATCATTTTTTTTTTTTGCCATATTTACAATCTCTTTCATGATTTTCTTGAACAACTCTGTCTTGAATCCTGTGCAGTCATGCACAACATCTTGACACTTTCAATCAACAGGAATTGATCATTTCAGGTTTGATGACTCCACAGATTGGTCCGTTACAACACTGGCATCTTCAATAGTGTATAGTGCTTCCAGACTTCCATGATGTTCTCTCTATTGGGATTCTCTTCTATAACACTGATAATGCTTTCCATAGAGTATTATCTGTAATCAGCCTTAAAGTTCCTTGTGATCCCCTGATCTAGAGGCTAAATTAGAGACACTGTATTGAATTCATGGAGCTCTGGATGGCCAGGGGCCTTGTCCAATATCAAAATAACTTTAAAAGGCAATCCCTTACTGCCAAGGCACTTCTTTACTTCAGTCACAAAGCATTGATGAAACCAAGTCAGAAAAGGTATCCTTGTTGCCTATGTCTTCTTGCTGTGCAACCAAAAGACTGGCAGCTAGTGTTTTTCTTTTCCTATCAAGACTGGGGGGTTAGCAACTTTATACATAAGGGTAGTCCTGATCATAAACCCAATTGCATTTGCACAAAACAGTAGAGTTAGCCTATCCCTCCTTGCCTTAAATCCTGGTGTTCATTTCTCTTCCTTATTAATAAATGTCTCTTCTGTCTTTCCCACCCCTCCCCCAGCCCCAAATAGAGCACTTTTATTTGCATTAAAAACTTGTTCAGGTGGATATCCTTTCTCAATGATTTTCTTAATGGCTTCTGGGAAGTCTTCTGCTGCATCTAGGTCAGCAAAAGCCACCCCTCCTGTTGACATTTTTAAAGCCAACCCTCTTTCTAAAATTATTAAACCATCCTTTGCTAGCATGAAATTCTTTAGCTTTTGATTGTTCACTTTCATTTTTATTTGTCATATGATTTTGTTTTTTCTGGAATCATATCAGAGTCTATCAGTATACCTTCTTTTGGCAATTCTGCACCAACATAAAAGCTGCATGTTCAATATGAGATAAAAAGGCACATCTTTTGCAAAAAGTTCAAGGTTTCTGTGCCTGCTGCTGTAGCTACAGCAACATCTTCAGAAATTTCTTTCTTTTTCTTCTTCTTCTTCTCTTTTAATGGTTCTCATACTGAATTCATTTATCTTAAAATGGTGGGCAATCACATTTGCATGCTTCAATTGCATACCAGGCAATTCAACTTTTTCTCATAATGTCATGGCTTTTCTCTGCTTCTTGGGAGGACTTCCAGCATCACTAGTGGTACTTCGAGTCAAGGTTTACATTGTTTCAGTAAACATGATGAAAAATACACAAGAACTACCAGAGATCACTTTCTACTGCAATATACAATATATTAAATATATCGGAGAAACAAACTTTTCACATGGAGATGATAAGCATCACATGGCTTTTTAAGCAAATAGGATACTCGCAATACTTCGGCTCACAGCAGTGGCTACAAAATTATCATGGTAGTGCAGTATGTACTACTGTAAATTTTATGTACTTATGATTTAATACTACATATCTAGATTTGTTTACATTTCTCTAGTCTGCAAATGACACCATGCTCTGTAAGTTTTTGTGTGTGTAAGTTTTGATGTTTTAAGTTTTTATAATAGATTTGTGCATATTTTATGGTAGGAAATAACAAGATAGACTAATATCTACATATATTTTATGCATTTATGACACATCTAACTTTTTCTTAAATTTTTTGATATTTCTAGGCTACATGGTTCATCTGCAAATTTTTTTTCAAATTGTTGCAAATCTCCAATTTTCCAGTATATTTATTTTAAAAAATCTATGTAAGTGGACCCACACTTGAAACCCATGTTTTCGAAGTTCAATTGTATTAACTTTTTAGAGTGTGCCTTATTTAAAATTACTTAATGTATACACAAATATTGCCATGAAAATGAATCGAAATCATTATTTCTAATTCATATGTGGTCTAACAGACCACATCAGTGTGAAACTAGAATAATCTTAAGAGATAGATAATGCTTAAAATTATACTTTCTTGTTGTATCAAAAAATTTATTTAGTGGTTTACATTACTATTGTCAAAGCAGTTAGACACTGACTTATTTTATTGCTTTCAGCGAGGAGGACATTTCCCATCTAGAGCACAATGTCTGATTTTTAATATATTATTCCTGTGAAGTATCAGCTTTACTATTGTAACATTTACAAATCTTATATTTTTGACCTTATAAGCCAACTTAGATTCCTGTCTAGGGGCCTATAGAATAAATGTTAACTACAGATTTATGCAAATATACACATTAGTTGGCAAGTTAAATGTTAAAGTGATGCTTTGAGGCTGAAAAAATGACAAAATTAAGGAAAATATGATAAAAATTAATGAAGCCTATAAAGTAGAACATATTTACTTTAGTTTTTTTATTATTGCAGTGTTAACCTAAGAATTATTATCATGTGTATAAATAGAGATAACTAATGCAGTATTCTATATTATCAGCAAATGTTAATATTTCAGAATAATGTATTTTATTAAATTTGTGCTCAGATATTAAATGAAGGAAGTCTGTTCTTCAATACCCACATTAACTTTTGTTTAATCTCTAAAGAAATAAAGTAATAAGATAATATTTCAGAATATTCACTTATTTGCAGTAATTCCATGTATCAAGTAAACATCAAAATTGAGATCTTTTTTTATTCCACAGCAACATTCTACACTGAAACAGAAGAGAAGAAAATGTTTAAAAAATTATATATATATACTTCCTAATTATTAGCTTCATAGAAAAGTAATATCAAAATAATTGAAGAATTACATATCAAAAACAGAGAAAAGTAAAAGCTTACTTATTTGCATTCCTACATATATTTTAGAATTATGAGTATGTAATGATACCTATAAAATATTTCAAACTTTTAAAATCTTTGTTGCCCAAAGAGAAGTTGTATTTCTTCAGTTTTAACATTTTTCTTAGTTTTTCCTGGTGAACACTTATAGATGTTTGAATGTTTCATTATAGGGCAACTTCAAATAGAACAAACAGGAGAATAATATTTGACTATATTATAAGCATATTTTAGATAAGCAGAAATAAAATTTTTTAGATGTCATTGTTACTCTCTCCCCCTAAAAAACTTAAATTCCAGTTTTATCAAAAGGTGTCACAGCTCTTAATTGAAAATCAATAGTAGTCAACTGAGTTTTTCATTGTATGATAATGAAAAATCATACACTCATATGAAATTACCACCTGTGTGAATACGGAAAACATTATTTTAGTACAAGAATATTATTTTTTATAATCAGAGACCTAGAGTAGAATACCAACTTCAGCAGGAATAAAGGTAAATTATCAGGACAAAGGATAATTTATCCTATGAATTAGAAGGTTAGAGACCTTTTCTATCCAAACTAAAAATGAACCTAAAATTCTTGACAGGTAACCTGGTAGGTAACTCGTTTTGCATGAAAGTTGGCATTCATTTGGCATTTGAATGAATGCCAAATTTCCTAAATTTATTATTTTTGTTCAGGTATAAAAATAATAGATAAGTTTTTTATAATACCCTGATAGTATATGTAATCTGGTAATATTTAATTTCCTTCATAACTAAATTGTCAATAGAGTATTTGTGATGGTTAATATTGTCAACTTAATTGGATCGAAGTAGGCAAGCTATTGTTTCTGGATGTGTCTGTGAGAGTGCTGCCAAAGGAGATAAACATTTAAGTAAGTGGACTGGGAGAGGCAGATCCACCCTCAATCTGGGTGGTCAGCAGCTAGTCAGCTGCTAGTGCAGCTAGGATAAAAGCAGGCAGAGGAACATGGAAGGACTAGACTGGCTGAGTCTTCCTGCCTTCATCTTTCTCCCATACTGGCTGTTTCCTGCCCTCAAACACTGGACTCCAAGTTCTTCAGCTTGTGGACTCTTGGACCTACAACCAGTGGTCTGCCAGGGCCCTTTGGGCCTTCGGCCACAGACTGATGGCTACACTGTCGGCTCCCCTACTTTTGAGGTTTTGTGTCTTGGACTGGCTTTCTTGCTCCTCAGCTTGCAGACAGCCTACTGTAGGACTTCACTTTGTGACTATTTGAGTCAATACTCCTTAATAAACACCCTTTCATATATACATATATCCTATTAGTCCTGTTCCTCTAGAGAACCCTAATACAGTGTTGTACATTGAAATAAATATAATTATTCTGGTTTTGGTTGAACAGTTGAGAGGTACTAAAATTGAGTTTTCTTGAAAAATATATTTAATCTAAAGTACTGAAAATTTGGGGGAAAATGCTTCTGTAAATCCTAAGTTATTATTTCTTCAACTATATTCTGTAGTTAATTTCTCCAGCAATTCTTAATTTCAGCACAAATTAGCCACTGTTTGAATTAGGAATACTGAATCGTCTCCATTGCAGTGCAGTTAATAAGTCATTTCTTGATGAAGTAGTCCATGTAGGACTTGAAATCTTGTCTTTTTCATGATACATTATCATAAGGTCATATTCCTTTTTTGAAAAGATTGATGATACTATTCTGAAAGACACTAGTAGAGTTAGGCTTGGTTTTATGACCAAACATTCTGATATGACTTTCACCAAATCAAATACATATACACAGAGAAATGAGTTAGAAATGATATAATAGAAAGATATTTCAAATTTTTCACCTAAGACAGTCACCATGATGCTACTTATATCATATTTCATGTAGAAGCGCTATATGTAAAATTAGTTGGCTCTACAAAAATCATAAATATATCGAGAATATAATATTCTGATCTATGTTATGCAATTAAGCTTAGAAAGGACAATCTTTCTATTTTCATGATAAAATAGATCAAATAAATGGTTTTCAGGAGTACCTGCTTGGTCAGTCTCCTGGTATAAGTTTATTTGAATCACTATTAGTTTTAGAGAGCTCTTTTAGTTGAAAAAGTGCTTTTCATAATCATGAATTAATCAGCATCCTTCTTATTTCTATAATTTTAACTTTTGAAAGAAATTATCCAGAAAAAAGTAAATATCACTTTCAATAATCATGATAGAAATTCTATTATGCAAAGATATTAATATGTTAAAATGCTGAAATAGCATCTTGCTATTAAAAAGCTCACTCTTTCTGCAATTTTAATACACTCTTTTTCTTCTTACCCTGATTGAATTTGGCAGTATTAAGACCAACTGCACATGGGGCCAGTTGAATTAGTGACAGGAGGCAATTAGATTTGACCAGATCAACAGAGAATTTTCATAGATTTTTGTCAGCTTATAATAATGATTAAACCTGTGTGAGCATTCAAAGAAAAATGTTGACATAAGGAAAATATTTACATTTTAATATGCTAGAAATTCGCAGTGAAATTATTCAAGCTTTGTCTCATCTTTTATATTTGTTTATGTATGAGGGTCTAAAAAAGCTTCACAAACTCAAAATGCCTGTTGGGATCTCACGAAATGGGACAACAGTGATTCTAAACTCTGCTGTGTCATTGTTGTGCTTTATTTGGGGAGACTTTTTCCTGTTGCTTTCTTTGAGATGAAGTAATTTTTGACCCAAGTAGAATTTATTTTACAAATGTACAAATTAAATGTTGAAGAAATGTAAATATTATAAATATTTGAATTGTCTTATTCTATGTACTTTTCCAAACTCCATAATTCTTTATACATGTAGGGGAAAAAATGCTTTTAACATAAAATTATTACATCAGCAAATTTAAAAAATATTTTGTTCCTCTTTTTCTTTTAAACTATATACACCCAATCCATCAGCTAATTCCATTGTTGTAATTTTAAAATATATTTCAACAAAACTTTAGTGCTCCATCTCCATCACTAACACCAAATTAAAGTCAACATCAACAATTGCCAAAACATCCTACTGCTAACCAACTAGTCTTCTGGTTTCCTGTTTAACAACCTCATCTTTTTAAATAAAAATGGATTCATGTTAGATATCTATGTTTTTCATTCTTCAGTGGCACTTTTCGGATGGAATTCAAAGTCCTTACTCTGTCCTACAAATCTTATAATTGAATCTGGATAATCTTGGACCTTCTTTGTTTACCAACCTCCCTCCTCACCATCTTGCTTTCTGGGCACAATGGCCTCCTCTGTTTCTTGAACACATAAATCACAGTTCTGCATCTAGGCCTCCATATTTTTCATCCCCTTTATCTGCTTCTTTCTTCATGTTGGTCTCAGCTTAGTAAGCCAGGCACAGAAAAAAAATATTGCATGATCTCTCTTACATGTGAAATCTAAAAAATAAAACTCACAGAAGCAGAGAGTTGAATGGTGGTAACCAGTGGGTGGAACTGGGGCGGTGGATGAAAAACTGGGGAGATGTTGATTAAAGGATACAAAATTTTGGTTAAGCAGAAGAATAAATTCAAGAGAACTACTGGATAGCATGGTGACTATAGTTAATAATGATGTATTGTATACTTGAATATTGCTGAGAATAGATTTTCATTGTTCTCACCACAAAAAAATAAGTGAGATAATGCATATATTAGTCCGATCTAGCTATTTCACAGTGTATACATATTTCAAGACATCATGTTGTACGCCATAAATGCATATAATTTTTATTTGCCGACTAAAAAAAACACTAAGAAAAAATGACAATTTTGTGTGTGTGTGTGTATGTACGCATGTGTGTATATATGCATGTGTGTGTAGGCACGCACAAACACATATACATTGTCTTACTTTTTTTTCTTTTTTTTAAATTATACTTTAAGTTCTGGGATACATGTGCAGAACATGAAGGTTTGTTACATTGGTATACATGTGCCATGGTGGTTTGCTGCACCCATCAACCCATCATCTAGGTTTTAAGTCCCACATGCATTAGGTATTAAAAATAACAATTTTTAAAGATCACTAGAATACAATGAGGATTTTGCTTTAGTCCTTTTTGTGTTGCTATAACAGAATACCTGAGATGGGTAACTTATAATAAATGAAAATGTATTGATTCAGTTCTGAAGGCTGGGAAGTCCAACACGAAGTTTCTGGCATCTTGCAAAGATTTTCTTGCTACATCATCACATAGTGAAAGACTAAAGAGCGAGACAGGGCAAGAGAGAGCTACATTGCCATTTTATAACAGCACAAATCCCATCTCTTAGGGAAGAGCTCACATGACCTCACCAATTCTTAAATGTCCCACTACCTAGTACTGTTAAAATGGCAGTTAAATTACAACATAAGTTTTAGAGTAGACAGACATTCAAACTCTAGCAGATTTTTTTAGAGTGATTAATTTCATTTCTGAAAATTCAGAAAAGGATTTACAGAGGAGCTGAAATTTTTAATTTGTCCTTTAACTATGAGTAGAAATATTGAGCCATTGAAGGTGTTAGGCAGAAGGGTAACATAACCCAAACTGTATTTTAGAGAAAAAGTTTAATCTGACATTGTCATAGCATTGATTAAAATTTAAAAATTTCTGTGTTTCAGGCATTCTTGAAATGTTTCTTATGCTTTCATTACTTATGGAATTATCAAAAACATTTTAAATATTGCCTCAATTTTATGGAAAACAGTATATATTCCTAACATCTTTCATATGTATTATATTAACTGATTATGAAAGACATACTATAAAAAGTCCAAGCATTATGACAATATTATCTTTGAATTATTAGCTATAGCTCCATTTTGGGGAGTAGATTCTCTAGAGTTTATGCCATACATATTTAACTGATCACAAATAATATTAAACCACTTTATGTATAATGTAAAAACCTTACATATATATATAAATATGTATACAAACACACACATATACATATACACACACACTTTTCTGATCTTTAAGCTATTGTCATATACTTAACAATTAAATATGCTATAAAACCCAACATACATTTTTATCATATTTGTATTAATGGTTAACTTTTCAAAAATTAAAAATTAGATTAAATTATTAAAAACATGTATATTATATTTATCCACCTGTCATCATTTTCAGAAATCTTTATTATTTCTTTAGATTCAAATTTTCATCTGGTAGCATACTCTTTCTGTGTGAAAGATTTAACTTCAATATTTCTTGCAGTGTTGATATCCTGTTGATAAAGTTTTTCAGCTTTCATATGTCCAAAACACTCTTTATTTCACCTGCATTTTTGAAAGATACTTTTGATGGCTATTGAAGCCTTGGTAGATAGCTTTGATTTTATTCACTTTTGTTTTCAATACTGTGAAGTTGATGCTCTGTTTTCCACTGGCTTGGATCATTTTTTGATGAGAAATCTGCTATCATTCTTATTTTTGTTCCTTGTTATATGATGTGTATTTTTTTTTCCTTTGCTTTAAATACTTTCTCTTCACTGCCGATGGTCAGCATTTTGATAATGCTGCAACTTGGTGTGGTGTTCTTCATATTTCTTCTGCTTGGGGTTGATTGAGTTTCTTGTATCTGTGGGTTTATAACTTTTGTCAAAATTGAAATTTTGTCTACAATTTCTTTAAATATTTTTGTATTCTCTCTTCTTTTCCTCTCTTCTGGGATTCCAGCTGTGAAGTGATGAGCCACTTGACATTATTCCACAGCTCACTGATTTTTTTTTTTTTTTTTTATTGAGATGGAGTTTCACTCTGTCACTCAGGCTGGAGTGCAGTGGCACCATCTTGGCTCACTGCAACCTCTGCTGCCCAGGTTCAAGCGATTCTCATGCCTCAGCTTCCCGAGTAGCTGGGATTACAGGTGCCTGTCACCACATCTGGCTAATTTTCTTGTATTTTTATTAGAGATGGGTTTTCGCCATGTTGGCCAGGCTGTTCTCGAACTTCTAACCTCAGGTCATCCACCCTTCTCGGCCTCCCCAAGTGCTGGGATTACAGGCATGAGCCACTGCATCCGGCCTGATGTTCATTTCTTAGACTTTTTTTCTGTGTGTGTGTGTGTGTGTGTGTGTGTGTGTGTGTGTGTGTTTAACTTAGCTGGTTCCTATTGCTATGTGTTCCAGTTCTAAATTTTTCCTGCAATATCTAATTTGCTATTAATGTCATTCAGCATATTTTTCTGAGATATTTTATTTTCAATGTCTAGAAATTTGTTTTGAGCTTATTTATATCTTGCATTTATTTCTACATGATTTTCATACTCTCCTCTCCCTTCTTGAACATGTCAACTTTATTTATAGTAGCTCTTTTAATATTTCTTACTAATTCTATAATATGTGTCAATTATATATCTATTTCCATTTATTGATTATTCCCACTGGTTATAGCTATATGGATGTTATGGTCTGAAATTTGGGTCCTCCCAAAATGTATATGTTGAAATCCTAACCCTTCAAAATGATGATATTGGGAAGTAGGGCCTTTGAGAGATTATTGGTTTATGCATGGTTATTAGATTATTATTTCATAAGTGGTATTAATACTCTTTTGAATGGGATTCCAAAGAGCTGCCTTGTCCCTTTCACCATGCGAGGATACAGCTAGAAGACTTTATCTATAAACCAGCAGAACCCCCGTCAGATACTGAATCTGCTGGCACCCTGATTTTGAACTTCTCAGCCTCCAGAACCTTAAGAAGTAAATTTCTATTGTTTATAAGCTACTCTGTTTATGATATTTTATTATAACAGCTTGAATGGATTAAGACAATGATTTTTAAAATTTCTCTTTACACATCTCCTAATTTTTTTTTATTGGACATTGGAAGATAATTTTTGTGTTTAAATGGTAGATTTGTTTTGTATCTTTATATATTGGGTATATAAAGCATTCTTGACTTTAAGGCTAATTTGGGGTCGCAACTAAGGCAATACGATTCTCAGGATTTTACTAGATATTTGATGTGTTAGGAGATGTTTTGACTCTCGAGATTGTTCAGCTAACCCTTTTCTAAGGCATCTTTCTATGTGTTAGTTGTTTCCTCACTAGCATGAATGGATGCACTCAATAAAAGCCTTGAAGGGGACAACATACAGATTCTGCAGCTTTCTGTGTGCTATCCCTTCATTCTGATACTACATTCTACTAATCCTATCGGCTTTGGCTTCTCTGGACTTTGAGCTCAACTATAGAGACTATAGAGACTATAGAGACTATTCAGCTATCTTTGGACACTCTTTCTTTGCTAGGCCTGAAAACTTTCCACAGGTAGTACATTTGGGAACTCCTAGCGCTTATGTTCATTAATTCTCTTCTCTCAGAGGTCCTGTCTTTACTGCCGGCTGTCCAATATCTGACAACCTTTGATTTATGTATTTTATGTGATTTTCTGGCATTGAAGTTGGGAATTTAAATACATTTCTGTTATTTCCTCATAGGCAGTGGTAGAAATCCATAACAATTATTATATTTTTAATCAAGGTCTCAGATGCAGTTAGCCAAGTAAATATGCTAATGAGAGCATAACCAAATTGGAAGCTCCCTGGACTAGCTTTAGCACTATCATGCTCAAACAACACAATTTCCTAAAGGCCAACACATGGAGAAATGTATTTAGTATTACTTCGTGACCAGCTATGGGATCAGAGGTTTTGATAGATTTAACTTATTATCATTACTAATTATTACATGATTTGTATTATATGTATTTGGATTTCCAAGGTTAAACAATATAACAATAGAGATAATTGGATTATTGTCCTTTGATAGACACTCCAAATAGAGTCTCAACATCACACTTAATAAGTTAATTTTAGATAATAAAAATTAACCCAGGCATATTGTTCTCTACTGTATCCAGTAAATATGGGGCCAGTCAAGATTTGAATGAAAATATGCATTATTTTCTGGGGACTTTTATTTTGATTACAAAATAGATGAAAAGGAACAAATAGCCTTCTTTCTTATAAAAAATTTTTCTTTTTTCTGCTTACCCATTTTATTCAATAAATGTAATATTTAAAAATATGAAATGTTTCCAAATAAGAAAAGCTAGGAAAATAATGAGACACAATTTTTTCAAAGTTTGTATTCTATTCATTTCAGGCTCAGTTGCCTAATTACTGTTAGGTTCAATATATAAAAAGCACAATCTTGCTTTTTTAATAAAAAGAATACATGTGTAAAATTTTTGAATAAATATTTTAAGCATCTGTGGAGACCCAAGCTTGGTATTAAAATAACTTGAATATTTACTCAATATTGAAAGTCTTTTTAAAAATTACAGTATATTATTCCTATCTTAAGTGTTTGAAGGAACATTTGTTCACTTATAATCAAATAGTTAAGGGTCTGTATGCCCTAAGCTGTGTTCTAAGCACTGTAGAGTCCATGTTTAATCAGATGTACATGTCCTCTGACCACAAGGAGCTTGCAAATTGATGAGAAAAAAAAGACAAAAACTGTTAAAAATATGAGAAAGATGGCAAATTATTCTCTATGGTGCAAAAAATGAAATGCTGTAAGACACTAAGATAGCAGTCCTAATTTTAAATTGAGTCAAGGAAGGCATTTTCAAAGAAGTGCCACTGAATTTCAGACTGGAAGGTGGACCAGAGAGAATGCCAGGACAGAGAAAATACCAGGGAAGAGCACAAGTGAGAGTTCTAAGTGTGGCCAGGGAAGCACAGTGGAGAGATTAAAAAAAACAACCTTGGAAGTAAGGGACAGAAGGTCAGTGGGACCGGAGTGTTAACATTGAAATCAAGGAAAGGATGGGAAACCACACAATAAAGCTGAAGAGATGAAAAGAGTCAGATGATGCAAAATTTGCAGTTGAGAATGCTGTAGTGTGGGAGTAGCCTGTCAAGTGTTTTAAGCAGGGGACACAAAATCACTTGCATTAAGAAGTAAGCAATGATGAATGGAGAGACCATTCAGGTAGTTACACGGTATGGCAAATCCCAGGAGCAATGGTGAGGACTTGCACTAGAGTATCTGTAGAGGTCATGAAAGAAAGCAGAAGTAGATAAGGATATGTATGTGTGTGTGTGTGTGTGTGTGTGTGTGTGTGTGTGTGTATACACATAATTTCTTTTTTAATGTATATTACATACTGATTATGATAGGTAAGAAAAGGAAAAATGTCATTTTAAAGTGAATTTGGGAATGGTATTAAGGCACATACCTGCTTTAGATGAACCACAGATTTGATTATAAGCTTTCTGAAGTCCATTTGTTAAGTAAAAATGTAATCAGTTATAACATTCACTCTGTCTATGGAGTAAAACCACACTACCAAACTGCTTTTACAGGTATATGACTAAAAACATTAAGATCTAGTAAGATCTAACAGGAATTTATCCTAGGATATTCTGATGGTTAGAATAGATATATTGAAAAATGGAAACATAACTAAAACCAAAGCTTCATATACAGGTGTGTGTGTGTGTGTGCGTGTGCACGTATGTGTGTGCAGAGAGAGAAAACCAACAATACCTTCTTATCACAGAAATGAGTCACGTAAATATTAAAGGGATTTAATAATATGTCTAATGGTATATAGTGTCTTTTACTATTATAAAGAATTCAGAAGGTCAAAACAAAGAATAATACTTAATGTTGTTTTAAATGTGAAATAATGTTATGTGCCTTGCAAGTACAAAGTAACATGAATGATGTTAAACATCACCTGTAGACTTTAAAAGATTTTCTTTTGCAAGATTAAGTCAATTGACTCATCAATAAATTATAAATAGAGTTAACTGGTTTATTTTTAAGGAACAAACAAAGAGATAAACACTTTAGAATCAATACATGCAATCAAACCTGTTACATGTTAGTGATTAGTTTCATAGTTAATAGATGACAGAAACTTTTATTGGAACAGAATTGAATGTGCCTGTTAGTAACAATGGGTAATAATAAAGTACAAGTCTATGTAACAGAAACAAATGAAGTGTAAAGTAAAATAATAGAAGAACATGACAATGGGGATTTTTTTTTTTATTTGTCTGTTCAGTGTCGTCAGAAGAGAGTACATCATAAGCAAAAAGTTCACTTTGATATCTGCTAATTTCATGGATAGAAACATAAGTGATTGATCAGATAACCTGCTTTACTAAAGTTTATTTTGGCAAACAAAGGACTCTATAGCCTTAATGTAACAAGCATGTGTGATTCATAATATATGACATAATTAGTAAAAGTACAAATTATCTATTTCACACTGAATATTTATCATCTCATTTACATTTCCTCCTCTATGTAATAAAATGATTATTTATTTTACTGTTTATCTTATTAAAATGTGGAAATCTTCTTGGAAATATGCCTGACTCTTTTCAATTTCTAAACTCCTTATTACAGGCATATTTAAAGCAACTTTAACTATTTTAAGTAATTTGAAAATAGCTATAGTAAAATAAATTGAACAAACCGTACTACCTAGAATAAAAGAATTAAAAAATCAGCAAATGTTTGAAGGACAGACAGTAAATACAATAGCAGAATCTGCTATCCAAAGAAACAGGATTAATTTAAAAAAACAGAGTAAGACTTTGATACTAATATAACAAATATTATTAGAAATAGTGGAAACAGAATAATATCTATTAAACATAAATAGATGTGAAAATAAATCATCCCTGTTCTTTTAAAATCAAAAGATAATCCTCTCCCTTCTAATATCAAACTAAACAAGAAAAGAGACTCTAATTAAGATCAAAGTTGTGTGCTGGAAGATAGAGTTTAGGAATTTTTATAGTGCATAAAGGAGAAATAGGTAAGAAGTGGGAATGACAAGCTGAGGAATATTGGAAATATCTAGCAGTTTCAATATTCACTGTTTCAAGAAGAGGTCCCAGAGGGAAATAGAATGGAACCAGAAATGACATTAATCAATTAGTCAGTTTACAAATATTTGTTGTGTCTCCTTTCTTCCAGCCATTGAATTATGCACTGGTGATACAGTGATAACAAGGAAATGCCTTGCCTAGGAGAAGCAGGTTGACAATAATCATAGAAAAAATAAATTAGATAAGGTAAATCTAAGTATTAAATTAGAAGATAAAATCCACAATGTGATAGAGAACAAAGGTGGTTCGATGATGGGGGCTGGGATTGCTTTAACAAGATGGTCAATGTTGTGAGTAAGATGACATTCGAGTTCAAGAAAAAAAATTGGAAGGAGATGGTCTTGTTCAGTCTACAGGCAGATGACATCAGCAAGTACAAGAAGCTCTGCGAAAGCAATGAGGTTGGAAAGTTTGACAGAATGAGAAACAGTGGGCAGGGCACAGGCAGTAGTTCTAGAATGGGATGAAGTCAGAAATTATGTGGGAAGTTTTGGTCCTGGCCTACAGAGTTAGTATTTTATTTGGGTTGCAATGAGAAGTCTTTGGAGGATTTTGATTTTGTGTCTTAAAAAATAACACATTTTCCTTTACACAAACTAATTTTCTCTGGTGGGTAGAGATGCTGTTATAGATGTAAAGAGGAAAAACTGAAAAAGTAAAACCAGAAAAGCTGTTGAACTAGTCCAGGTAAAGGAAGATGATGGCTGGTGTGTACAAGGTCAAAGGCAGCAGTGTCTGTGGACCACATGGAGTAGAGTTTCTCAAGGTGGTACATACTCAGCTTTGTTCCCACTGTCTGTCACCACAGAGGTCAGGTCAGTGAAGAGACACCATTCTTTGAGTAGTCTTAATAGCTATAATTGATTGTCAGGCAACACTAATTGTTTTCATTGTATAGACTTCATTTTAGCTTGCATTTGCAAATTACCATTCTTTTTCTAGGTCATGTCTATAGATATATGATCAGAATTGTACACAGCAAAAAAGATATTAGTGTGAAAGTTTAAAAGTCAATTTTCTCTTTTAATTTTTGTTCAGAAACAGAAGTTAGAAAATACAAAGTGACACTTGGAATATAACATGGTTCATCAGCAGTAAAACATTTTTAAATGGACAATTTTACTACCATTTTCGATCTCTATATTTCACGAATAACTTTAGATTAACCAAAATTTTAAATTTTGGCTAATGTCACATTTGTCATTAAAATGGACCAAAAAAGCACTGAATTTTGTATAAAAGCTTAATACATTATATTACTCTTAAATATCATGATTGGAGAACCTGAGAAAAATATGCATTTCTTCAGAGCCCATGCATGACCAGTAGCTAATTTTTCAAGTTTATTGTGTCACGGTTGTGCTTTCTGAACTGCAAAAGCAATTAGATCAAATTAAATGTTTGCTGAATTGCATTAAATTGGGGGAAAAGTTTTTAAAGAATTGGTGGAAGATCAAAGAACAAGGAGAAACTTAGCTACTCAGTAGATGTGCAATTAAGGAAGAAGATTAAAATGTTAGTATAAAATGCCCTTTATTTCTGAATTATTAATACTTAGGACTTAGTTTAGGAAGTGTCCATCCTTTTTCATTTTCAGCTAGCATGGAAAAGTGTGTCTTCGTTTAAGGATTTATTAGTTAAATTTCAGGATAATCTGGTCTAAGAAAGAGGTCCAAAATATAATGCCCCAAATAACACGAAGATGGATTTTATCATTATTCAGAGTCCAGAGGGAAGTTGACCAGTGCTGGTACAATGACTGCCTTGCTCAATACATGACTTTCTTTCATGAAACTCAGTACCTGTTTTTCTCTGAACATATTTTGCATATCTATTTCATTTTAAAAATTTAAATTGATTCTCACCTTCTGTCCACAGATTTTAGAGATAGTATTGCAGGCTGAATTAGACCAGTACTAAAATAAATTAAAAATTTAATATTTTTCAAGTATGGTCATCTATTGTGCTGTAAATTTCAGTGAAGAACAATTACTTTCACAAATATGTTAAAATTACCAAATTGTTACTAATTGATACTTTTTTTTGATCCAAGTTAAATGTCTGAATATTTTGTATAAATTATTTGGAAATGGTTAACTATATTTATGTTGACCATAGGTTATTCTATTAAAATAGTTATAATACAATATATCTTTTTTATAAATGAATCAAACACTGATTTATAAATTAAGGAGTAAAATTGCAACTTGTTTAACTTCTTAACTCAAAGTTAAATGTTATTAAAATGTCATATGTCATACAGATGTAAATGTCATATATAAAATGGCATATACATATAATTCCAGTTGTTCATACATGTGTAAATATAGAGATATCTTTTCCATTACTTTTATTTTATAGAAGTAATAGGTTCTGATTAAATAACAATTAAATTACAGAAACAAATAAGTCTAAAAGCTAATGTTCTTTTCCATACATCTTTTTTCTGACCCCAACTCTGATTCTAAAGTCCTTCTCATGATATTTCAGCCAACAGTTGCGTATATATACTGCTAGTATTTTCAAATATTTTAAATTATATTTTATTTATATATGTATAAACTACATAGTTTTCTTGTGTGATCTTATGCAATTGAAATGATATCTCATATTTTTAAGGAACTTTTTTAAAATGTAAGGTTTCTTGGATGTCTTTTAGTTTAGTCTGTATGATTTTACTTATTTTTGATTAGTTATTTAAAAGTGTTAACACTAATAACTGCACATGATATAGAAAATAAATAATCTGTTTAAAACCTACATAATATGTAACAACCTTCTTGAACACCATTATTAACATTGTTTTGTGTATTTCCAATATAAGATGATATGGCATTTTAACTTGATTTTTGTTTTATTCAACTTGATTTTGTTTTCTTAGAGTGAAATTCTTTTCATCCTTTGTATGGCTACCTAATATGCCATTGACTTAAAAAATGTAATTCTTTAAACAATTTCCTATTGATGGGAGTGTTTATTATTTTAAATGTTCTATAAATGGTGTTTCAATGAACATATTTAGATACAGGTAGCCATATTTTAAATATATTTTACATGTTTTAGCTTAAGTGATTTTTAAAATTTGAATGTTTTGCGATATCACAGAACTTTTGGATAGACAGTACTTGAGAAAGTATTTAAATCCTCCTTTATAGATAAGGAAACTCTAGTATCAACCCTAGTATCAAACCCTAGTATATTATTTCCCCTTGGAAAACAATGTAATATACATTGTTAGAAACAATAAATATTGTTTTAATAAATATTGTTTGGTAATATAATATTACTATAAATCTAACAATATTTATTATAGTAATAAATTTATAATAGTAATATTATAGTAATAAATATTGTTAGAAATTACTTCTATGTTTATGCACTCCTGTTGACAGGAATATGAACTTTGGATGTCTGACAATCCAGCATTATGCTAATATATAGTTTGTTCACAGTTGGAACATTAACTTTGCTCTCTAGATTTTTTTTTAAGTCACCAAATTGTAAAATTACAAACTTTCCTATATTTCACCTTTATCAATTCTTATCCTCCTAAACAGATTTATTTTCTTGATAATATTTATTACCTTAGATTACTTATTTATTTTATTACTTCTTTTCCATCACTTAGAATACAAACTTCTTGAAGAACCTGATATTTGTCTTTTCTGCATAGCTAGAGCTTCAACACTTAGAATGATGCCTAACTCATAGCAAGACTCAAATATTTGTTGAACATGTTATTTTATGTCTTTTTGCTGATACAAGAAGCATTTTACTTTCACCTACTGCAAATGTTATTATAAACTGTGTTGTGGACCAGGCGCAGTGGCTCACACCTGTAATCCCAACACTTTGGGAGGCTGAGGCGGGCGGATCACTTGAGGTCAGGAATTTGAGACCTGACCAATATGACGAAACCCCATCTCTACTGCAAATACAAAAACTAGCCAGGCATATGGAACACGCCTTTAGTCCCAGCCACTTGGGAGGCTGAGGCAGGAGACTCGCTTGAATCCTTGAGGCAGAGATTGCAGTGACCCAAGATTGTACCACTGCACTCCAGCCTGGGCAACAGAGCAAGACTCCATCTAAAAAACAGCAACAACAACAAAAAACTGTGTTGTGGTCTTCCCATTATTACTATTTTTAAAGATGTTATTCTCAGAGTCCTATAGCTACTTATTTTTCAATGAATAGGTTTTATGTAGAGGTGCTCTTCACTCTTTTGCTTCTTTCATTGTTCTCTGCTTGGCAATTAGAAGGTGGTCTCAGTTTAAAAATGTTTTATTTTCAGACTTGGAGTATTTTATTATATTTATGAGTAATTCTTCCCATTTTATATTTCCTTTTTTTCTATTTATTTATTCCATACTAGACCAATGTTTTTTGTCTTTTGGATTTATACTGCCTCCCCTACCTTTTCTCGTTCATTCTATCCCTTCATTTTTTGACTTGGTGATCTGGAAGATTTTTTCACTGTTGTATTTTTATTACTTTTGCTATTATTGAATTTTGATTACCAAGAATTTTATCTTGTCTTCTGAATTTTTAAAAAAATGTTGCTGCTTTTTTTTAATGGTTTTGATGCAATATCTTCTCTAATCAATCTAAAATTACTGAGTAGAATTATCTTCAATTTCACTAGTATTTTCTGAATTACCACGGTTTCTTCTTTGTTTAATTTCTTTGTTCTTTGTACTTTGTTCCCTCTCTTTGGTTATGTGGAGATCATTGGTGGTTAGTTTATATTTGTGAATGAAAGAGAAGATTGGCTAATATGGGTATCGGAAGGGATTTTCTTTCTTTGGGATGGGTTTGTTTCCCTTCCAGAATCTTCTGACTGGGAGTGCTGACTGGGAGGACTCAGTGAATAAGTGAGGCATGTCAGCAGGCAGGATTCACCTCAGTGCACAAACTCCTATACCCCAAGATACATGTACTCTCTTCATAAAGCCTTTATCTTGTACCCTAATGTTCCCACTAAGAATTTATCTAAATTATGGAAGTCTCCTAAAATGCAAAATCTGTCTTTTCTTGAAGAGACAGCAGCACTTCTGTTACTCTCCCTGACTGTGTGGTGATGGTGGAGGTGGTGGTAGGCTGCATGGTCCAGCTGTTCCAAATATGGTTACCGCAATTACTGTCCTGCCTCTCACGCCCATTCTCTAAATATGTAACCATCCAAGTTTGGAGCCTTTCTGAAGCTCCACAGGGAAGATTTTTTTTTTTTTCCTCAGGCCTGTATTTTTATCAAACTGCTCTCAGCCTCTTTAGATGCTTTAACTTCAGAAATATAGTGGTGATATCAGGGCTCTAACTAGTCAATTTTGAACATGTGCTCCAATTCCAAGGTTATTTTTGGAGAAAGGTGAGCATGCATGTACCAAGGCATTATTTTGAATGAAACACATGGAATATATAAATATTTATTGGCCTTTTGACTCTATTTTATACCATAACATTTTATGTCAAATAATTTCGATTTATTTGCATGTGTAATAATAAAGATGGCAGTATCTTCATTCCTAGACTATGGGGTCATATAATTACAAAAATAGATTCTTGGAGTGACATGAGAGTATAATCTATTACCACCAAAGAAGATCTTGAACAAATGTTATAGCAAATTACAAGTGAGGTTATCTCATATTTTTCATTTTTAGCATTTTACCAAACATGTTTTTGGCTGCTCATATCTATGAAAGGGTTTGGTTCTACTTCTTCTTTATTGATCTAAGATTTACTGTTAATTCGTTTTCTGAAGTCAACTGTCTCTTAGATTTCTTGTGATTTTCTGTTATCCTGGCTACTAGAAATTGCTGGGAATTAGGTGGAAAACATTGTGTTTGATGCTGTTTCCATGAATTACATGCTTCATTTGGTCTGTAGAAAAATGAACACAAGCTTTTCAAATACCCATATATTTCTGAAACGTGTTTTTATGGCCTAACTCTAAAGTTCTAACTAAACTCTAAAGCTCTCCAGTACTTTGGCTCACCATCAAGAGTAGTGCTATGAGCAGCAATTCCATAATATAGTATTGCTCTTGTTATTTTATGACAATCTGCAGGCACTCAGGAGAACTGGATGGGCAATTCATATAATTCTACCATATAATGCAAATTTGTTTGAACTACAAGCTAACATTTGTCTTAGTAGTCAGATGAAGGTGAACACTGAGTACCGTAGAAAAGCGAGTGATTTATGATCCATGGGAAATGATTCTGCCCCACCGGCTGGTTAAGTGTGGGGCTTTAACAGCTATAAAGCATAAATCTACAGTCTATGAGGCTGCTCGGGTTTATTACTATTTTTCTAACTTGAGAATTTTCCTGTTGGGGATAGAACCACCTTGTCTGGTCATTTATTACTCATGCTTAAAGCTTCAGCTATACTGTGAGTCTCTGCATATGCAGTGTTGGAATTTCCTAGTTATATGTGGGATAACTTCAGTCAATTATCACAGGTGCGCTCTCTCTCTCTTTTATAATTTAAGGAGGGGAGTTAGCTGTAAAAAGAAGTGCATCAGTACGAGTTTCAGGGCTATGAAGAGTTCAATTCTGAGAAGCCAGGGAAATAATGCAAAGTAAAACTGAGGTACCTTTGGTAAGGAGAGAAAACAAACCTTCTGAAGGTGGCAGAAGAAAATCAAAGAGCAAGAAAGCAGTGTTAATATAATTTCTTTGAAAAGTAGAAAAAGAGAGCACAAATAGAAGTGAGGTAGAGGCCTGTGAAATACAGAATGGGTGTTGAATCTAGTTGTGTATCAGATAATGTCTGTGACTATGCAATCATTATTCACTACTGACTATTTTTTCTTCCACTTAGGGTCTATTCCTGAACTTTTTTTTTATCCTGGCCACGCACCCTTTCCCCTACTCCTTTTCATCAAAAAGGAAAATACATTTATCACTTCTTAAACTTTTGATTAATGTTAAATTATATTAAATTGGGCCTAAACCTGCCTCCCTTTGTAGTGAACGTAACCCAACTAAATATGTAAACAACCTGCAACCTAATGAGACTATATTCTTACAACAAATAACTGAGTCTCAGCCAATCATAGAGGCTGAGCTTTCAGCCAATCCCAGGATGCAAACTGCTCAGACATGTCCAAATAAAGCAAAGGCCACCAATCAGGCTATTTTTTTTTTTTTAATGTCAGTTCCTTTTTCTCTATATAAATACTACCTGCCCACTTGCTAGCTTTCTGAACCTTTACTGATTCAGGGTGCTCCCTGATTTATGAGTGCTTCTTTGCTCAAAAAAACTCTGATAAATTTAATTTGTCTAAAGACTTTAACACCAGCAAGTGAGTGATGTGTGTGTGCATGTGTTTGTGTGTGTCACATAGGTACTGACACTTTTCAAATTGACATTTTCAGTTTTGTAGAGTCCCCCATAGACATATTATATCATAGAGAGTGCTGTACATATTCTCACCAAAACTGTTAGCTTTAACTAGAACTAATACCACCAAATGAGTAAATCGTAAGGTGGTTGTCAATGGTTAACACCAAAGTTGAATGAATGTGTCATTTCCAGGGTGACAAAAATAATCAAATCTGAGAAGGAGTTTTTAAGATTTTCAAGTAGTTAAAGACTTCATTTCTTGTATTCATTCATAAGCTTTTAAGGAATTCAGAGTTAAGTTAATCCTTTGCACCATTAGACAAGTTTTCACAGGAGATCTAGCAGTTTTCTGTGCATGAATACTGGGATGGCAGTAGTCTTTCGTATAAAAAATTCTCTTTCAGGAGTCTGGTAGTCCATGTTCTACCTCATGTTCTGGTCCTTAGTTCTGTGATGTTGAGCACATCTCTTTATTATGTTAGATCATTTTTTCCCGAATCTGAAAAGGAAGACAAATAATGGCTTCCCAATTGCCACTTATATTGCTACTCCAAGTTCAAATTGATACCATACTGTAGAGATAAAAGTGACTCCATCCTGGATGCTAATCTGCAATGATAACTTCTGATTGGCCCCAGTGCCATGAATGCCTCCTGGTTTCAATTTTATTTCCTGTTCCTAGTATAAGAACAAAGAAGGCTGGGTGTGGTGGCTCATGCCTGTGATCCCAGCACTTTGGGAGGCCGAGGCGGGCGGATCACCTGAGGTCAGGAGTCCGAGACCAGCCTGACCAACATGGAGAAACCCCATCTCTACTAAAAATACAAAATCAGCTGGGCGTGGTGATGCATGCCTGTAGTCCCAGCTACTTGGGAGGCTGAGGCAGGAGAATTGCTTAAACCCAGGAGACGGAGGTTGTGGTGAGCCAAGAATGTGCCATTGCACTCCAGCCTGGGCAACAAGAGCTAAACTCTTGTCTCAAAAAAAAAAAAAGAGCAAAGAAACTTGATGTTATCGCACAAATTACAGGCTATGATGCATACAGCATTCTTGCCTGTTCTGGAGGCCTTTAATTGTCTTGCTGGAGCACATATACTGTTTCCCTATGTTATAGAAGCCTTGGGTCTAAGGAATAGTGGTGCAGAGATCCACACTGCCTAAGACCACACTTCTGCCTGTAGGTTTACTCAATACATCACTGGATACCAACAAACTGGATTTGTCTGCCTCCTTTTCGGTTTCCTGGCTTCTTCAGCATTTGGGGGTCACTTTATATAAGGCCCTTTCATGAAACACATAGCAGAAAGCATGTTTAGACTATTCAATGCCAGAAAATCATACAGAATCATCTTCAGAATGTGAAAGAATGTATTGCATATATGTATATTATTACATTTTTTAAGATTTCATATAATATGCACGAAGGTTCTATTTGGTTATAGTATCCTGCAATGTGACTTTCTCTTAGGTTCTTGTGAAGCTCCATAATAATGTTTCAGAAAAGGCTTAATTTTTAGCAAACTCTTAATTTTTATAAAAGTATTTTAGTATATTTTACAAACACATTTTCATAGAAAAAAATATGTGTCACTAGTAAATAGCCCAGGGAATAAACAACTTGAGTAATTATTTACCATATTGTTATAAAAATTTTTATTTCTTAGCAATAATGAGTTACCTACTCACATTGGGATTTTCTTTACTAAAAAACTGATACAAAAATTTCCATGTGTTGTTTTGTGCTTTGTGTATTGAACGTTTCTGTGTGTGTGTGCGGTAAGAGGAGGTGATGAATATGTTTAATGTCTTGATTGTGGTGATGGTATCACAGGTGTATGCATATGTCAAAACATATCAAAATGTATAAATTGTATAATTTGAATTTATGCAACTTTTTCTATATCAATTATAACTCAATAAAGATTTAAAAAGAAAACTGGTACAAATATGAAATACAAGTTTGATAGAGTTAATTTTTGATAGAGTCTGGAAGACTCCACTATACAACATTTTAATTAAACTATATGCAAGGAAATTAAGTGATAGTAAAATAAAGTTTGGATTATATTTATTGATTGTAAATTACATGTTTCAGTTTTTAATTTAGAATAATTAAAATAAGTTATTCTATCAACCCAGTCAAAACCAGTGATATGAACAACATGTTACTCTAATTTTATGTATACATTGCTACTATGTTTGAAATGGTAGAAAAATAAGTTTAGATGTTTTAGAGAAAAGATTTCTTAACAAAGTGAAATTTTGTTATATGTTATATTTTAAATGTTTAGAAGTTTAATAAAGATAGACTAGATGATGCAAATTTTTCAATAGCAATTAGGTTTTGAGGAAAAAAGGGACAATTATCAATTGCTAAGGTCTGCAACTGTAAGGATTATAAGACTGTTAATGCTATTAATGGATAATATTTTTCAATAATAATTAAGAATCCTAAAAATACATGTCACATGAATTATTTACATTATATCCACAAGAATATTAGTGAGGCACCCATGTAATTGAGATCAGTATGAATCTCCATTTTAGTGAATTTGTTTCAGTTTTATTAGCAAGATGGTATTATTTTTCAACATGGATCTATATTCCATTGATTAGTAGATTAAATAAAAAGGTTGTTGCTTTTCCCAAATGGATCCATGCTGAGACATGGTAAGCAAGATGATTAGACATAACCCTGTGTACCAAACATGCATCCTGGGGAACTGCTATCACATGCAGCCATCACTGAACAATGAAAAGGTCACTTGCTTCGTTATGTGCTTTAGTGCCTGGCTAACATTCAAAGTTCACACATCAGACATTGAGTTGAAGTATTTATTTTCTCTGCAAAACAAAAAAAAGTTTTTGGAACTAGGGCTGAATGAGCAAAGCTCATAATTGAAACAATTTTCTAGACTTTATTTTTATAGGCTATTAGTAATCATCTAACATAATTAATTACAACCTTTGAAGCATGGCCAGGACAAAAATATAGAATTACTTTGTCTGTTATTATCATGTGGAGGGGCATTTTCAGGTCAACAATCTAAATGCCTTGGAAAACAGTAGAAGAAGTGTTGTTTTATGAGCGATGAGAATATAATGTGATGTAAACAAGTTTTAACATGTTGAAAGTGGAATACCTGCATCTGAGGGGCAGGATTTACTAATGGAATATTTTCTCACTAATAATATCTCCAAAGCCTGAATATTTCTGGGTGGTATGTAAGATGATCTTTCCAAAATAATATACCAAAATAACGTGTCAGAAAGAAGGGCAGGATTGTTCAAGATGAACTGGTTATAGCTTTTATAATTCAGTACATGAAGAAAAAACATGTTATTTACAAAGACAGATGTGAATACACATTTGACTGAATGCACTGGAAGTTTTTAATAATTTACCATTACATATCGTGCTACAGTTTAGAGTCTAAATTTGTATTGGATTGCAGAGAATTGTTCTCCAGGCAGTCTTGCAACCATAAGACTCAGGTGGAAGGGACAATTGCTGGATGCAATTCCTGTGCTACTGTGTTAAAAGCATATTTAAAGTGTTGTTTGCCATGCGAAGGATTCTCCAAGATATAAAACGGTGTTCACTACAAATACTTCTACATTTGTATGTTCAGTTGATATATTATTGTCCTACAGAACTTGTGACATATTTTAGTGTAAATGTACTATCAGTTATCCCTGTGTCTTAACTATTGTCAATCTGAACTGAAAGTGGAGCAGATTTATTAGTAAAGCTACAGACCTCTCATGCAGCTGCTGATTCTATTTATGAGGTTCAATGCAGTTTTAGAAATGTAGCTGTAAGTGCACTTGTTGTTCTAATTCTTTATAATTTAATCTATCATTTCAGACTCATAATGTTCTCCCTCTCTGTCTCTCTTGTTTTTTTTTTTTTGTTTTTTTTTTTACCAGTGGTAATAACATTTATTTTACCAGTAGCTTTATTTAGTAATAATCACTCAAAGTTAAATAGCATTATTATGCCTTGCCTCATGCTGTACTTTTGGAATCCTGCTACTGAGATAGAAATTAAGAGAGTTTTCATTCACTTGAGTGCAAGATTAGATCAATGGATAGAATGACATTACTTTTCTGCTCCATGATTTTTACCAATAAAAATCTCTGTCTCTCACTCTTAAAGTGTTTTTGGGATTCTTATGCTAAGAGCCTCTATTCTGGGGCAGAAAACAAAGACACTTTGTGTCCACTGTAGAAGTAAAATGAAGTTTTTGCAGTAATTGGTGGTTCCTTTATAAAACAAAAATTGGGTGAGAATGAGTAAAAATAACTGAGGGCTCAAAAAAAAAAAATTCCAAATGGAAGCTCATAGTAGCAGCTTCACCCTGCTGTTTTATGATCATTCGAACATGATTTTCCTAAATGCAAAGATTATTTTGTTGCTTTGTTCTCTCATCCTTTCTTAAGGCTAGAAAAGGATGTGGCTGTGGTATCATTCAGTAACAGGGTCAGAGAAGAGTGAGACATCAGACAGTTGGGAACTATTAGCGGAAAAAGATGAGAGTTCAATATGCTCAAACAGTAGAAGTAGTTTTATGGACTGCCATGTAATGCGGGGGGTAAGAATAGCTCAACTTCTCACTCTAAAAGAACAAAAGTCATTAGCATTTCCACTGACCCACTATGTAACTACCAGTCCATCCATCCATTTATCCTTATATCAAGTGATAATGATTTTTGTTATACTGTTTTCTTGCTCTTTACATGCTTAAAGAGCAATTTACTCTTTAAATGCTCAAATAACTTTTCTATTATATTGATGAATAGTATTGGAATATGAGGACTTTTTAACACTTTCCAAGACTTTCCATTAAGACATAGGCTATTATAATTTAATATAAATTAAAACTACATTAAATAAAATACTTTGACATTATTTTATATTTAAAGCTTCATTTTATTACCCAGAACAAAATAATAAAAGACATAAATTAATCGTTTTTTAATGCTTATTTTTAAGGTTTAGTTTTTTAAGGTGTATTTACATAATAATAACTAGTGATTTTAAACATGTTATGGTACCTTTATTGATTCCATGCTTTGTTGTTGATCTCAGATTACTTGATCAGTTTTATCTGCAGGAAAAAAATCTTTAATAATTAAAGGCAAATGAATTGGCCAGAGAAAGACCTGAATTTGAGCATTGCTATTTCAATGTGTTGTCTTTATTTGGGATGCAATGTTCACAAACATAACCAATCTAATACATATCAGAGTGTTTCTGTCAACTGTGTTACAACTGCCACCCTGCAATAATATCTACATTTTATATTAGAGAGAAAATAATGCATTACCATCTTTTTTTGCACATTGCCATATTCTTTCTTCCAGTACATTTTTATGCCAGAAATCCTTAAAGGTGAGTTTTCTTATTCTATCTTTTGGCTCTGATTATGCTTAAAAATCAAAAAAATTTGAATTGCTACATCAATTTTTTTAACTGTACTTGTCTATAGCCTATTCTGACAACACTGTGTAACTATTGTTGTTTTAAGGATCCTGAAAAAGCCTAAAGCAAGCTCGTCTCTCAGTTGGACACAATCAGAAGTTGGAAAGGGGGCATTTCAAAGGCATAAACTACATCCCTTTGTGGAATATGTAACTGATATACAAAAGTTTCGGTTTATACGCCAGTAACTAAGGTAGTTTACTCCACCAGCTGTGGTACTTTTTCCTGGTCAGATTGGAGGTTCTTTGCTATTACTTGCCACAATTGTAACTATATAGAAGTGGTGCATTATTTGCTAATCGTCTGTTTTCCTGACAAAAAAACGTACTGGATCTGCTTCGTTCAGAAACTATCCTTAGTATATAAAAGAGTAGCTGGCAATTAGTAGCAGCTTTAAGAATTTTTGAATTAGTGATTGTATCTTTGACACCTGACTTCATAATGAGCTCATGGTGGCCTTCCAGGGTAAATATGATAGAGTGCTGAATTTTTAATTATGGAAATAAAACTACGTTAACTAAAACACTTTGACACTATTTCGTATTTAAAGCTTCATTTTATTACCCAGAACAAACTGATAAAAGACATAAATTAATAGTTTTTAATGTTTATTTTTAAGGTTTAGTTTTTAGATGTGGATTTATATAATAATAACTAATGATTTTAAACAGGTTATGGTATCTTTATTGATTCCATACTTTGGTGTTGACTTGCTTTTACTCTGCATTTCTTACTATTGGGTTAATTAATTTATAATTTAGCTATATGAAAAATTTAAATATCAATACATTTAATAAGAAAAGAAAATACCTTCTACTTATTTTATTTCTGAGATTCTAATTATGTTTAAAACAGGTTAACTTGTTTCAACTTGGAGTCTAAATGTATACCTTAAGACGTGAGAATGTTTAGACACCAGTTTAATGATATTCTATAATTTTCATGTAACTATTTATTTTAATTTTGAAATAAATATATAAATTTATATTTATTATTAAGACAATTTAGTTTCTTGAATGTGTTTTCTTTTGTCTTCCATTCTTTGCCTTTGACATATTTAATATATTTCACTTAATATTTAGCAATAAAATAATTATGACAGTTTGATGAAAGACACGTAAGTTGCAAAATCAAACCATTAAGAAGAGTTATATTGTGCCCTATAATGCATAACATCAATAGGACAGATGTAATGGTTAATTTTCTGGGTCAACTTGGCTGGACTATGGTACCCAGATTTTTGGTCAAACACTATTCTGGATGTTTCTTTGAGGGTTTTTTTTGGATGAGATTAACATTTAATTCAGTGGATTTTGAGTAGAGCAGATTTCCATCCATCATATGGGTAAACCTCATCCAATAAGTTGAAGGCCTTCCTTTCCCCCAACTCCAAGCCAGAAAGAACTCTTAAAAATATATCTCTGTCTCTCTGTCTCTCTGTCTGTCTCTCTCTCTCTCTCCTTCATATGCTGTTGGTTCTGTGTCTCTGGAGAACTCTGACTACCACAACAGACTTTATTCATATACTCTGTCAAGCAGGTATATCTAGCAGTTCAATAGTTGAATACTGTGTTTGGCTCTATGGTCTATTCTATTATTATTTTATTCCACCACTGTCAATTCTATTCCTATTTTGTATTTTTATATGAACTAGAATTAACACTATTCTTTTGTTTTGTTTTGCTTTGTTTTGAGACACGGTCTTGCTCTGTCATCCAGGCTGGAAAGCAATCATAGCTCACTGCAGCCCTGATCTCCCGGGCTCCAGCTATCCTACTGCCTTAGCCTCCCGAGTAGCTGCAACTACAGGCATTCGCTAGCATGCCTGGCTAATTATTTTATTTTTTGTAAAGATGAGGTCTCACTTTGTTGCCTAAGTTGGTCTCGAACATGTGGGCTCAAAAAACCCTCCTACCTCAGCCTCCCAAAGTGCTGAGATTACAGGCATGAACCACCATGCCTGCCCCAAATTAACCATATTGGAAAATTCTAGCGGGTTTTTGAGGACACTAAATATATAAATCTATGAATCACTTATGTATGATAATCTCAGGATTTTGAACTAACACTATGTAGGTTACCAGTATCTTATTATAACCACTTGTTTTTATATTTCTTTTTAAAGAAGTGTACTGTACTGTTTAAAGGAGTGCCACAATGATTATGTAATTGCATAAATATGTAATTGCTTATCACATACTTATTACATAATGCTGTATCCTTGCTGCCTATCTTCTAACCCTGGTAGTTCCCAAGACATCTTTATTGAACCCTTTTGATTCTAGCACCATAGTCTAAAAAGCATTCACTGGGGAATGGTTCTATTTTTTCTCTTATTTCTGTGTTGTAACTGCAGCTGCTATTGCTTTTAGGATGTCCAGTGTAATATCATATTTGCTGTTTTAAGTGTCTTACATATAAGCCTTGCAATAACAAGTGCTCAATAAACATTTTTATAAGCTGTTCGAGTTCAGCTATAATTTCTAATGGTATGTTCTGTCTGCTAGTCATGTGACCATCCATAAAAGACAAGTATATTGATCTAACTTAAAGTAGAAACAATCACAAGTAGAATTTTTTAAAAAAGAAACTAGCAAATTAATGGAGGAAAAGGGCTTCGGAAAAGTGAAGAGGGCTAGAATTGTCTAAAATGTTAATTTAAATACACAAGAAATATTAGGTAAGCTGGGCTATAATATAGCACAGTTATTTAAACTAGTATAAATTATATATGTTTTTCTAACATATCTGCCTTATAAGTCTGTAGCTTTTAACTCCAAATGTCATTTTTATTTTACTTTATTTAGTTATATATTCATTCAGTTATACCTATTTTCCAAGCTGTTTCAGAATGAGAATGTAGCTGTTTGCACTGGTGTGAATTTTATGATAATATGTTCCTCGGTGTGCTATATAAGGGAGTTTGGATTCTTCAATAATTTAGAAGAAGACTGTACTTAGGATTCATTTGTATTTGATATGAATGCCAATTTTTAATTGAAATAATCTAATATTCTATCATTGATGATGTAGAGACCAATATAAGCAGCAGTGGATGATTTTTCAATTGTAAAATATTTATCATGCTTCAAAGATTAGATTCTTATAATACTTAATAACAGGATGACAGGATATATTGGCATATTTTTAACCATAGGAAGATACATAGTTTCTTGATGTAAGCATTGATTCTCACTTTAGCCTTAGCCACTATGTATACTTGAGTCAATGAATCTTAATATTGACCTTAATAGTAATCAATTTCTACTTCACATTGGTAAAGTCATAAATCATAGCTATATGACATTCTGGTGTTACTGTTTTCTAATTTCCCATGACATTTTCAGATCAATACCTCACTATTTACTAAATGAAGAAAACAGTTTATTCTGATAACTCATTTGTAGAACATAGCACTTTAAAATTAGCAAGCTGATATTTTAACTTTTATAATTTCTAAAAGGCATCGCAAGATAGAACATGATCAAGGGAACTCACACTCCTGACACCTTTGAATCTTAAATAACTTGATTTATAATTGATGATTGATGCACATTTTTATTTCTGTGTGAAAGCTACATAAACAAATAGGTAGTTACATTATTTTATTCAGAGACATGCCACTTAAAGCAATATTAGAAATGCAAAATACTTGAAATTGAATTAAGCAATTTAATCTGAGCCATAAAATTAGTTGCTGGAATGCAAAGTTAGAAGATAATTGCCAGATTTCAGCATCAGTATGTACCATTCTCTAAAACTTTAGAAGTGTTATGACAGTATTTAAAATATAAAAAGCTGCACCTAGATAAAATTGACTCATCAAAAGAAACATACAGCAAAGAGACTACAGAATGCGCCTGGAAAATTAACAAGGCCTGGTGCTCTCCGCCTAAATCATTGTTACACACTAATTAGTGCTGTACTCTGATTTGAGGCTTTAAATTTGTTCCTTTGAAGATTTTCTTAAAATTGTATTCAAAGGAAAGGCTCTTCTTTAATAAAACTGTATAATTCTTCATTCACTTGGGAAACATAGCTTCCCAGCATAATGCTGCTGAAAATCAGGTGCTGACTTCTAACAGAGGTGCTAATTATTAACATTCCAGCATCAGCAAAATGCTGCATTCTCTAAGACTGACATAAATAATATGCACAAATATTTCTCCTCTATTCCAATAAGTACTTGAAAAATTCAATAATGTTCATTAAATACATAAATGTGAGAATACTAAAACTAAAGATTTTTCCCCTGTGACTTGTTATGTACTGTCTGAAATGCAAAGCTGAAAGAAGGCATCATTATATGGCATAAAAAGAAATTATTTGGCTGTTAATTATAATGTAAATTTATCATTATAGCAGGGGAAAAGAGTGACATCATATTTAAAATCATCAGACATAGCTTGGTCACTCAAAGTATAGATGCATTAACCTTCAATAATTTTTACAGTACAATGTGGACAAGGATAATATAAAATGATGAGATGCCTTAAAATGACTTACAAGAAAATTCTTGTAATGATCTGTTATAAATGGAAGATTGACAGAAGAAAAAAAGGTATTTTACATTGTTTCTGGAAGATACAGTAGTTAGCAGGAAAATTTACGCAGACTTTAGTGCCACACAATCTGTAAAGTGCCTTATTTAGTACTGTCTTTTTCTCTATCAGTTTTACAGTGACACTGAATTAATCTACAGTCCCACTCCTAAGTGCAGAAAGTTAACATTGTTGTGTTTGTAAAGAAGACCTTGAGCTGAGATTTAAAGTGATAAAGTTGTTGAAGCATCAACTCTCTCGGTATGTCCTTGGGAAATTATCTGATCCTCTCTGCCACTCAGTTTCCTCATCTGTGCAGAGAGTTGTTTAAGCTAAATGATCACAAGGCAGATTTCACCCTGAAAAGATGGACAGCAGCAGGTTTGTTGGGTAATTTTGCATTTCGTCAGTTTAGGCTGAAAATATCCGATACTTCCCAGAGTCTCCTTCCTTGTGTGGTTTTACGTAAAAATTGGCTGTAAGAGATATTCTTCTGAGACTGAGGAGAAGATGAAACGAAAACCACCGCATTTTGAAAGTACTTATCGTCTAAGGCAGTGAGAAGAAACAGGTGCAGTTGCAATTTGTTCTCTTTTCCTTGCTCCATGACCAGTTCTCCTCAGCTATTTCTGGCCCTGTGGACCAACTAGATACTTAGCTATAAACTCAGAGATAGCAGCAACAAAGAACTAACAATACTCACCTGCTTCGTGGTTCTGCTCTAGCAGCGTCCTGCAAGCTCTGACTTTTACATCCACACAGGGATGTTTAATGATCTTTTTTTCCCATTTCCTTATTTTCTAATTCTTCAGTTTCTCCTTAAATGGTGTAAGACTTAATTTCTATGATAGTGATTTTTACACATAGTGGTCTTGCTTTCCTAATGGAACCCTAGCTGATATGACTGATGAATGCATGCACTGGGGCTACCATATTTAATATGTTTCACAGATCATGTATATGTAGCCATTGAAAAGAAAATAAAGGACTGAGTGTTTTTTAATTTTATAAATACCAAAGAGTTATTTTTAAAATGCTGAATTCTTAGGTATATTTAATGTTCAAAGTAGTATTAAATCCATCTACTTCAGGTTTTACATCATTTCAGTTTTCTGAACTTTGCCTTGTCTTTGAAATTCTATTCAAATTTTACTGGTCAATATGTTAAAGAAAACTTTGAAATAAACTTGAATTCGATATTTACATAAGCTCACTACGGATACAGAAAAACTTTGAATAAAAATAAATATAGTGAAAGTATATTAATCCTGAAATGACTATATTTAGGATAGTATCATCGTTTCTATGAGATGAAATCGTTGAGGAATTAAAGATTCTCTTGGTTTATAAACTCCAAGTGAGCATTTTTTTATTATATTCAACATTATTTCCCAAAAGCATTGTTTCATGTTTCTTTTCAAGAAATCTAGTTGATGGTTTTAGAAGCATTCATTCAAACCTTCCCAAATTTTACTTCCTGTTTTCTTTCTTCAAAGTGTCTGTGTGCAATTCATTCATGAGAAAAATGTAATGGGATTCACTAGGGTATTTCCCAGGAATATTGCTAACTATCAAAAGTTGGAGACTTGTGGAAGCTAATAGAATCGGCAGGATTATACACACACACCAGTTTTTGTGCTTGCCTTAACCATATATTTCCATGTATGTTTTTTTAAAAATCTAAAGCTGTTATCTATTTAGGAATTTTGACTTTCAGAGGAACTCAAGCTCATGAGGGAAAATTTCTCAGAGACAGTGTGGATAAACATAAATCCTGCAATGTCTGAAAATTGAGTTCACAGTTAAGGTCCTGGAAAATGTGAGGAAGTCAAAAAAAATACAACCAGCAGACCCTCCACAAAGGCAGTGGGGCAAGATGAGAAATGGAGGCTGTTCATCATTTACCACCATAAATTACATGAAAGTTATGGAAAAAAAATTATAGGTGATTAAGACATTCTCAGCTTTATCCTGTCTCCTACAATGTTTATATTTTTGTTTCACTTTTTCTCAATTAAGCAGCAGATTATTCCAGGAGTACTAAAAAAAATGAGATAAACTAGAACTCCTCCCTTAGAATAATATGCTAAATTCATGTCCTGCATTTATTGTTGCCAATAATCTTGTTTTTTATTAATGGGAGCTAAAGTGAGAGGAAAACAAGCTGAAGGGGGAAGGGGAAAACATAATGCAAATGTTTTCCCCGGTATTTATGTCAAAAAAATGTCAATTTTTATGACTTTGAGCCAAGTCAGGGTAAGTTAGAAAATATTTTAATAAAGCTAAGTCTAAGCTAGAACTTTGTTTTACAGACAAGAGAAGAAAATTTTACATATAAGTTTTCCAACTCAGTTGTATTATCTAACAAATAGCTAACAAAGTCACAGGGAAGGAGATGTCATTTTCAGGAGAAAATTAGGAGCCCGAAGTGAGCAGCTATGTGGTATTGCTGTTTGTTTTCTGTAAAAGGGCTGGGAAAATAAGCATTGTATCAGTGAGAATTAGCTTTGACTACAAGTGGTCAAAACACAATAGCAGCAGTATAAGGAAAATATAAATATTTCTTCCTTGTATAAAAGAAACCCAAATTTCAGCGGTCCATGGCTGGTCCCATACGTTATTTTGTGGTTTCATAAATTTGTCAGTGTGGTAGGAAGAATTCTACTACTGGCTATGAGATTCCTGCTACCTAGTGTACATGCCATGTATAATCCTGTTATCTAGGCAAAAATGGTGATGTCATTGTAACTTATAGAATAAGCAAAGGAAAAGGGGTTTTGCAGATGTAATTTGGGTCTCTAATATCTTGATTTCAAGTTATCAAAAGAGAACGTATCCTTTGTAGGTCTTAATTAGCCGAGCTATTTTTAAAAAGATTCTAGGCTTTCCCTTAGTTAGACACCTGAAACAGTAGGGACTTTTCATGGCTTTTTGGCCATGAAAGAGTAAACTGCCATGTTGTGGAGAAGGGTACAAGATGATGAGCAGTCTCCAGCAGCAGAGCACTTCAGCTTTGCAACTGCTAGGAACTGAATCCTGTCTACAACCACAAGAGCTTGGAAAAGGACCCTGAGCATTAGATGAGACCATAGCTACAGTCAACATCTTGATTAGTTTCATGAGAACCTCAACACAGGCCCAGCCTAAATCATTTCCTAACTCCCAACCTCAGAAACTGTGAGATAATAAATCGTTTCTACTTCGTGATCCCAGACAATTCCTTGAACTTTCCCCCCATATCTCTTATGTAAAATGTAACAGGAAGGAAGGATTAAATAAGAAGGAGAAGGAAAAGAAGAAGAAGGAGAAGGAGGAGAAGGGAAACAAAAGACAGTGCCTCCTTTTAAGAACACTTCCTAAATTTTACACACAATAACTGCTTTATATTACTAGCTAGAACATGGCCACATGACCATTGAGCTTCAGGTTGCTTTGCTCTGGGTAGTTATTGAGAGCTCCATTACTGAGAAAGAATGTGAGAATAGATACCAGGAGAAAGCCTGACTCTACCACAGATTTGAAGTAGTTCAATATGTTAATGGAAAGCAGGCAGCAGGATGGGTGTGCTTAACTAGAATGCTGGCAGAAGAGAAAGCCATCTTTTCTATGAGAGATCTACAGTCAATCTTGTCATAAAATAATAAGACAGAGCAATCAAGTCTCTTAGAATATCATGCTTTAACTTAAAAATACACACAAATTCTAGGTAATAAAATGTTTTATGCCTACTACTATCTCTGGAATATAGCAGTACTTCTATTCTAAATATACTTTTGTTATTGTAATTTAAGGAATGAATCATTCTAACAAAGTTTTTGTTCAATCCACATTTAAGTTTTATGCTTTAAGTACATTAAACACTTGTTGTGATGGGTAATTTTATGTGTCAACTTGACTGTCCTAAATGATGCCCAAATGATTGTTAAAACATTATTTCTGGTGTGTCTGGGAAATAGCTTATGTACGGTCTGTGTCTGTCAGGCAAAGTAAGCATCATAGATGAGGTGAATCAGTGCAGAGGCTCCAAATACCACAGATAACAAAGAACTGATGACTAGGCTATTTTGATTTTGTTTCACAAGGCAACTCTTCAGGGATTCACCTTTAAACTCCCAAAAAGGAGGAATATAGAACAGGAAGACACAGTTATTGACAATCAGCCTTGGGAGCCTTAGGGTAAAGTGGGCACTGGACAAGCGCAGTGGCTTGAGCCTGTAATCCTAGCACTTTGGGAGGCCAAGGCAGGAGGATCACTTGAGCTCAGGCGTTCAAGACCAGCCTGGGCAACATAGTGGGACCTCGTCTCCAAAAAAAAAAGAAAAAAAAGTTTTTTAAAGTAAAGTGGGTAGAGGAATGATGTTGAGGATTTAATGATCCCATCTGATCCTATGTCATTTAACTTCTTACTCCCACCAAGGATTATACACTGCTAGATATTTCTTTACAAACACTGCTGCTTGGGCTATAGCTGCAGATGTAGGGGGTAAGTAAATAGGCAATAATTGTCTTCTGTAATGCTGGAAACATGCCAAAGCAACCACTGGCTTCTATCATTGAACCACCCTTTAACTCCTGCTTCTGGATTCACTAAGCCCTAGGCTGCCTCCTATCCCACAGCCCACCCCTGCAACACACAGGCCAGCTCAGAACAGCCATGTGTATTCCCAGGGGAGTTTCCCTATCAGTGTGTGTGTTTGAGTCTGTGTATGTGTGGTTGTGATTTATTCAGATATAAGCTTCTTTTTGACTTCTGTAGTTTCTCCAGGGTAAATATAAAAATAATGATTTAACAGCCTAACTGATTGAATGCTATTATGTAATACTAGCTCTTTTTAATAATCTTTGTCAAGTATATCTTTCCATTTCCAACCTTCCTATATCCTTGCATGTAATATATACTGCATTTCCTATATACACATAAAGCTGGGGTTTTTTTTCTTAATTTAATGATTTTTTCCACTATGTGACTTTCTGTATTTTTTCATAAGTCTAATCTCTTTGCAATTATTTTTATTGCATCTATATTTGAATATATATACATTCATGGATTGATTGATTGGTTTTTGAGACAGTCTCACTCTGTCACCCAGGCTGGAGTGCAGTGATGCCATCTCATCTCGCTGCAACCTCTGCCTACCTGGTTCAGGCGATCCTTGTGCCTCAGCCTCCCAAGTAGCTGGAATTATAGGTGTGCGCCACCATGCCCAGCTAATTTTTGTATTTTTAAAAGAGACCGGGTTTCACCATGTTGCCCAGGCTGGTCTTGAACTCCTGACCTTAACTGATCAGCTCACGTCAGCCTCCCAAATTGCTTGGATTACAGGCATGAGCCACCACAGCCAGCTATATTTGAATTTGTTTCTTCAATCTGTGGAGTTTTTTGTTTTTGTTTTTGTTTGTTTTTAATTTGCCAAAGTTTCTCTTTGCTCTGCAGTTGTTATTACTGTTGGTATTATTACTTGCAACATGTTGTTAAAGTAACTACTGAGAAACTTTTGTTCAACAAGAAGGAAAACAGAAACAATGAAAGAGCAGAGGAAACATTAAGCAGCACTAAGTCACTTAATCATTTGTCCTTCAGTTAACTTCTGGAAAATAAGGAGTTAAAGCCAAGCAATGTCAAAACTAATGTCTATTTCTCAAAGGTTATTATTTCTCTAATAAAGGCTAAAATTTGGAAACAAACTAATATAGTTTATCAGAGAAATTGAGATTTGTCTAACAGGCATAAGAAATTTAAACTTGGATGTAATTGTAACACTTAGTAACCATGTGCTTTTTAGCAAATTGTTTTATCTCTCTGATTCTTTCCAGTCTCAAATGTAAAATACTAATGATCATACTCGTGTGAGGGTTTATAAAGCTGTAAGTGACATTTTAATGTAAGAAAAACAGATTGAAAAGCTTGGGAACATGATGCAAGTAGATTCCAGATGTTTAGGATGGAATAATATTATATGGGATTATGAATGTTAAAACTATGTGTCACAGAGATGGCAAGTCTTTGGAAAATGTTCCTGTCTATGACAATTTTACTTGGAATTTCCAGCAATTAATTAATTGAAAAAAGAGCAGAATTCCTTATCAGTATTGGTATTGTTGGGGTTCTTCTAAAGTAATTATACGCATTGGGTTGTTAATAAAAATTTTAAATATGTAATATAATTTAGGGTTTCTTTAGTCAATATTGTTTTTAAATCTGATTTGTGTACAACAATTAAATCACTTTTTGAATCTGTTAAATTTTATCACTGTAGCTTCTTCTATCAGGACTCTACTTATGCTCTTACTATAGTCAAATGTTAAAAGCAACCAATTAAATAATAAAATTAACATTTTAAAATATTTTAATATATTACATATATTATACATTAGTACAACTTTATGAGATAAGATGGGATGTTGTATCGACTAAAAATCTTTCACTTTCCAAATAAAAATCAATAGACCTTGTAATTAAGCATAGTATAAATAGGTGTCATGAAACTGATATCACATTCTTGCCATTGATGTGATGCTTTCAGTTACAAATAATAGGTTTCATATCTTTCCCTTTTCATTTTGATTATAGAAACACTTTTTAATGTTGTTGGACTTGAGACTTATTTGTAACCAATTTTTTCTGAACTCTCCAAGAAAGCCACATTATAATTCTATTTCATACATATTAGCTATCTCAGCTGTGAAGAGATGCATAGGCTTTTACATTTCATTTAAATACAATAAACAACCTTTTATAAAACTATCAGTTTAGCTCTGACAGTATACTGGCTCAATGAGTAAAGGGGTCTGTTATTTCTGTGGTGCTAAGTTTCTCTGAAGTTTCTCTGATCTAAATGAACTCCATTCTCCTTGTTAAATCTGAAGGACAAAGGGTCACAGAGATTGAACTCAATTGGAAAAAAATTAAACTGATTTTACTTTCAGTTAATATAATGTGGCATGGAGCTGGCATTTAATTCCCATTTGTTTACAAACACCAGACAATATACAGCTTCTGAAATGTCAGGAGGGACTCCTCTTAGAAAAGGGAAATAAATAAAAAGGAAAGTAAAAGTCTCTTTCATCCTTTTCCATTTCTTTACTCAAATTGTGACATTCTAACTCATTTTACCAAATTCAAATTCTCTGTGTTGAAAAAAAAATTTGAAAGCAAACATTTATTTCACAAAATAGATCCATAAAATTAAGGGACTGTCTAAATGGATAGTATAGTATTAATCTATAATTGTTAGATGACGTTGGAAATTACATTATTCATCTTTATTTTAGTAATGTGGTTAATTGTTTTTCCTGCAAATAATGCTAGAAGCTAGCATTCTCTGTGGAGAAATTAGGGACTAGGGGAGAAGTGAATGAAACCCCCAAAACGAACAGTAGATAAACCTTTCAGTTCCTCACAGGTGTGGCAGAAATAGTTGGCCACAACAAATTAAAAAGGAATAAGACTACTGTACTCTATGAGTAGCCTCTTACTACTTCTTTGCTACCCTACAACATCCTTCAAGTGAATGTTTTCAATATAGAAGTGAAAAAAGTTTATGCAATTTCCTAGATAGAACTTTTAGCTTCAAATGTTCTAGGTTGGAAAATGGATTAAAGCCCAGTGATGAAAGAAAATATTTCCTAGAGCACTGAACAATGTTCTGAGATTACTTTGTAAAGTATCCTATCTCCTCATCTCTTATACTTCAATTTGTCTCAAACATCTTCTAAGATTTTTTCATAACTAATGCACTGATAGATCATAGGATATAATCCCAACTGGTAAAGTTAAAGTGAAAAAGAAAAAAATATGTCAACTTATTGAAAAAAATAAAGCCTATTTGGTTAGTCATGTCATATAATCTTAATTTTAGCAACGAGGCAGATTTATTTTTAGATGTTTAATTCTAATAAGTGACTTTTGTTTTAAAAATGTCTTTTTGAAAATTGTTATCTTTGTGAGATCACTCAAATCTTAATTAAATCAACATTTTTTTACATCCTGATCTCAGAAGGGTTGAAGCAATTTTGAAACTTCATGAGAGATTTTTAGGAAAATAAAATACATTAAAATAAAGAAATTCTTGATGTTATTTATGTAATCCAAATAAAATATATTGTGGAGAATAGTTTTTATTACTAAAACTTCCTATGCTATGATTCTAGACGTAGAAAATATACCAAATCACTGAGTTCCACCCATTTTGTCTTGTTAACAACATGTGCAAAAACACATTTGAGTCTTGAAATGAAGAAAGATGTCATAATTTTTAAGAATCTTCTTTTGACTTCACATTTCAAATAATTAATCTTTATATTTATGTTATGTGTTAAATTCAAAGAGTGTTTTGAAATTCAACTTACTTCCAACAATAACACTTTATTATGATCATTATTATCCCCACTCTACCAAGGAGGAATCCGAGTCTCTATCAGGGTAGCTGATTGAACCTAGGCCCTGCAGCTTGAACGTGGTAATCGGTGCTCCATCATGTGGCCCCATTTATTTTCCTGGGACCAAGGGTTTGGAAGTCAAGTCAAATAAATAGGTCCTTCTTTCTGACAAAAGATATAAGACAGATAAGTGATTATAAATAATGATCTATCCTCCAGAATCTATAATTTATTGTTGCCTCACTGCACTGTGGAACATCCTTTCTAAAGAGTCCTGACATGACCTTTAAAGCTCCATTTCATTTCCTAATTTGCAACTTTGTACCATGTTCCAAGGTTACAGCAATTTTAGTTCACCTTTATATACTTAACCTTAATCCTCAAAGCAGGGCATTTTGCCAGGTAATTAAGCCTAGGGCTGCATCCAGGCTTGTCCTCTATTTTGTGTCTGAGATTGGAATCCCCTCAAAACCCTACATCCTTGATGGGATTGCAGATCACCAACCCAGATCACAGCTTCCTTTAGGGAAATTTTTTTTAGGACCCTTGATACATTTTTGGGCTACAAGATGAGCCTCAATTAGAATCATCTCTAACTTTCAAAAGATTCTGATAAAATAAATTGTCAAGGAGAAATAGACCATAATTTTATTCATTTCTTTCAATAAAATCCTCCTAATACATATTCTAATATATTATCCCTTCCCATATATTAATGCATACCAATAGTTAAGAGGGGTGATACAACTTTCAAGAAGCCAGGATAGATTCTCTTATTCGGGATAGTAAGTTTCTACTGACTTCATGTTTTTGCAAATGAGACTTCATGTTGTGTTTCCTGTCATAAAAAGAAAAATAAGTACTGGTACAAGATGCCTTGCTTGAACAATTGCACAGTAGGCAATAGCAATTGATACTATTGTTATTAATTCAGCACTACTGCCAAACCCAAGCTAATAATTGTTGAAAAAGGACAAAATTCCAGGCTATGAGAACAAACTGAAATCAGAAAACATGCTCATTAATTTAATAATTGATTGTATTTCATTATTTTATTATACACATTTTCAAAGTTGGAAACATTTTCTAGACATTCTGTATACCCATCATCTAAATCCTATCTTCATTGTACTATGTTTGATTTATCATATATTTATCCATGTATTCATCCATTGACCAAATTTAAGTTTTTTTATGCATTTCAAATGACATTTTTAAGAAACGATATGACCATTTTTTCTTGAGTCCAGAATGTATATCATTAAATAGGCTTTAATATTTGTTGAGGTTTTTTATGTTAATTTATGTAAAATGGAATACACACATTTTAGTATACATTCTCTGGGTTTTGGCACACATCTACATGACGTAAAACCTTACCGATTAATAGAACATCATCATCACCCCCAGAAAGCTGTCTCTTTCCCTTTCCTCATCAATTTCTGCCATCCTGCCAGGCAAACATTGTTAATGGTTATTTTTCACCATATATTCAATTAGTTTATTCTAGAAGTCCATAAGTATGAAATGATCATCCAGTAGGTACATTTGTGCATAGGCTTCTTTTATTCAGTGTAACATTCTTGAAATTCTTCCATTTTGTTGAGTGTATGAGAAGTCTGTTTCTTTTCAACTGCTGAATAAAAACTATAGCTTTGGGAGCCAGGCACAATGGCTCACATCTCTAATCCCAGATATTTGGGAGACTGAGGCAGAAGGATCACTTGAACCCGGGAGTTGGAGAATGCAGTGGGCTAGGATCCTGCCACTGCACTCCCGCCTGGGCCACACAGGGAGATTCCATCTCATACACACATAATTGTATAAATGTAACATGGTTTGTTAATGTTCCTATTAATGGACATTGTGGTTATTTCCGGTTCTTGGCTAATATCAAAAAGCTGCTACAAATATTCTTGTACAAATTTTTGTGACATTTGTTTTCATTTCTCTTGAGCAAATACCTAGTATTAGAATTGCTGAATCTGAATCATAGGGTAGGTATATGTGTAGTTTTATAAACAATGGTCAAATTGTTTTCAAATTAGTTTTAGTATTTTGCAAACCCACCAAGAATATATGGAAGTTCTGTTTGTTCTACATATTTGCCAACACTTGATGTAAATCTTTTTAATTTTAGTCATTCTGGTGGATATTTAGTGGTAGCTCATTATGCTTTTAATTTGTATTTCTCTGAAGTCTTATAATATTGAACTCTTGACACTTTTCCTGGTGCTTATTAGCCGTTTGTTTATCTACTTTTGTGAAGCATCTGATTAAAGTTTTTGCCTCTTTCTATTATTGGAATGTTTGTCTTTTCTAGTATTGAGTTGTCGGAATCTTCATAGTATCTTATGATACTTAGATAGCAATACCTCCTCAGAGATATGCTTTTGCAAATACTTTCACATAGACTGTGGCTTCATTACTTACTCTCTTAACATTTTAGATCTATGAGCAAAAGTTTTTAATTTTGAGGAAGTCTAATTTATCTTTTTTTAAATTTTCTGTGGCTTGTCTAAGATATATTTACTGAACTCTTCAAGTCCAGAAAATACACGTTTTATGGTTTATGTATAAGCACGTTTCTTCTCAATTTAAATTTTTCATAGAATGTGAGTAGGCATTAAGGTAATTATTATTTTCATATACATTTCCAGTAACTCCAGCACCATTTATTGAAAAGCCTTTTCTTGCCCCACCAGCTTGCTTTGGTCCCTACATTGAAAACTAAATGACCATGTAAATATGGGTTTATTTCTGGATTGTTTTATTCTGTTAATAGGTAGATTAATTCTTATGCCAAAACCATATTCTCTTGATTACTGTAGCTTTGTAGTAAGGCTAGAAAACAGCTAGTCTAAATCCTCCAGATTTGTTGTTTCAAGATCACTTTAGATATTGTATGATTTTTGTATTTCCATATATATTTTAGAATCAGATTGTCAATTTCTACAAAAAAATGCTAAGATTTTGACTTGGTATTATTTTGAAGCTATAGATCAATTTGAGAGGAACTAACATTTTAAAAATATGGCATCTTACAATTCATGATGATGGTTTTCCCTCACTATTTAGGTCTTCGTTAATTTCTGCTATGTTTTTTTGTAAATTTGGCACAGATGTCATGTCACTTATTTTGTTAAATTTATTCTTCTATTAAGTTTTTAGACCATGATACAATAGAAGTTGCTAAAGTTCATTTTTAAAATTTTTGTTGATAATACATTAAAATACAATTGACTTCTTAGTATTAATCTTGTATCCTGATATCTCACTCACTCACTGGTTAGTTATAATAATTGTGCTGTAGAGTCCTAAGAATTTTATATGGAAATAGGCCGGCTATGTGCAAATAAGTTTACTTCTTCCTCTCTTACCTTTTGTTTTTATTTCTATTTCATACCTTTTTACAATGTCTAAGACATTCACAGAATTGGTGAAAATGGGCATTTTTTTCTTGTTCAAGTTTTCAACACTGAGTGTGCTGTTAACCCTAGGTTTTTCATAAATGACATTTCCTTTATCGGACTGAGAAAATTTCCTTATGTTACTAAATTGTTATACATTTTTAATTTTGAAAAAGTGTAAAATTTTGTCAAATGTTCTTTCACACTTATTAAAATAAATTTGTACTTTTTCTTCTTTATTCTGTTAATACAGTGAATTACATCAATTCATTTGGAAATTTAACTCAACCTTGTATTCCTGTGACAAAACCTCTCAGCTACAATGCACTACCCCATTTATGTATTGCTGGATTTGATTTTCTAAAGTATTGTTAATAAATGTTGAATCTTAGCTCATGGGGACCTATTAGCTTCTAGCATTATTTTATTTATTTTTCTATGAATTCAGGAGTATTCCCTCATTTTCTATATTGTGACAGAGTTTATGTAAATTTGATGTTATTTCTTCTTTAAATGATTGAAATAATTTACTAGTGATATCATCTGGTCCTGGAGTTTTCTTCTTTGAAAGGTTTATGAAAATGGGTTCAATTTATTTACTAGACAGGGTTATTTGGATTTTGTCCTTTGTTTCACTTCAGTTTTGGTAAATTGCTCTTTTCAGGAAATTTGTCCATTTAGTCTAAGTTGTTGATGGAAAATTGTTCATAATATGGTCTTATTAGTCTGTGTATGCCCATACTACTTTTAGTGATAACTATTCTTTTATCACTGATACAAGTAATTTGTTTTCTTGCTCAATCTTCTTGATCAATCTAGTTAGTGGCTTATAAATTTATTGATCTTTACAACAAAACAAATTTTCTTTGTCGAATAATGTTTTTTTATTTTGTTGATTTCTACATTTATCTTAGTTATTTTCTTTCACTTACTTGAGATTTAATTTCATGTTGCTGTTGGGGAAATGTTGTATACACATCAAATAGGTCAAATTGATTAATGCTATTCAGATCTTTCATATTTTACTGATATTTTGTTTTTGTTTTATAAATTAATTATTATTTTGTGGAATATAGCATACATTCCAAGCTCCTTGTATGTGAAACAATTGCATCACATCTTGAAAACTGTGAATACGATGTTACTCCACAAATTGTTGATTTTTTTGCTTTGTGTGTTTAGCAGGCATTTAGCTTTGTCTTACAGGCAGCTACACAAATACCAGGTTAGTTATTTTATCGATAGCCGGAAGTTGTCTCTTGTATCCATGGTTCCCATGTAAGTCAGAAATTCAGCATAGATTATATGCAGAATTTGGGGCTTCTTCACCTTGGCTCATGCCTCTCTCAGATTCACCCTTCATTTTATAATATAAATGGTTGCTTAAACTCTATCCTCTGTTTCTTTAGGCTGGAAAGGCTTCATTTTCTATCATTATTTTGACCATCATTTTTGTACCACAGAGGTCTTCCTTAAAGACTAAAGCCAGTGAGCAATAGCAAACCTATGCCTAGCCGTTTTCTCCTATGAATATTTGACTTCCCTCTGTAATCTACTGCCTTTGTTCACTCTCCAGTGCCTTTGTGTTTTGTTCAGAATGATCAGTGTGAGGTTGGGTCTAGTAGGAACTTACTCAACCATACCAGAAGTGGAACCCTCAATATTTTAAATTTAAAAACAGATACATATGTAACTCATTGTACTGATATTCTTATTGTTTATGGAAGTTTAGTTGTATTGAGAGAAGAATAGAATACACATGGGAGACTTATTCTTAATGGAAGTTTTAATAGTGAAACATTTCAGGATTCAAAAAGAAAGCAGATGTTGTCATTTGACTAATTATTGTATATGTGACTCAATTACTAATTTCCATTCATGTAACTGGTGTTGGGAGATTTTTACTTCTTATTTCCAGCAATATTGTATAGATTAATCAAGCACAGGAATTGGCAAGCTGTGTGGTTTTCAGATTAAATCTGTCCCACTAGGTGGTTTTGCAAACAAAGTTTAATTTACACACAGCTACATTTATATATTGTCTATGAATGCCTTTGCTCTATATTAGCAGAGTTGAATAGCTGTGACAGAGATCATAGAGCCTGAAAAATTTAAAATATCTATTCTTCATAGAAAGCCAAAAATAATTACTCTTTGTATAAACATTATGTGATACAGGTTTTCCGTGCACTGGTTACCACTTCAGCTCATTTCTTCTTGGGCTTCAGCTCACTGCACTTTTACTACTAGCCCGAGTCCAATGAGACAGAACACTCACTCATACCACAAGTTACATGAAGTTGGTTTATTACTTCCAGATAGGAAGCAAGGGACAACAGAAGCCTAGGATTCATGATGAGCTGGTTCCCCACCACTCCATCTGCTAAAGGCAGATAGAGTCTTACTGCTGTGCCCCACTTGCAGCACACCTGAGGGACCCCAGAAAGCGGACAGAATTGGGTTTTATACCTTGGGGATCTCATGGCATAGTAGGCCATGAAGAAGAACATTCTGTTTCTAGGAAGGAAAGGAACAGAATGAGGCTGCTCCAGTGAGTTCCTCCATATCTCAGGATGTTGCATTCCAGCACATTCTTCAGTTATTTTGGAAGACTACAAGTGAGAAAGTGGGGAGAACTGGGTGAGTTCAAGGCCATCAGGAGAGTTATCCTGCACATTATGGAAAAGGTATGCTAAACACAGTCTAGAATGTAGTGTAAACTTCCTAAGTGATTTTTGTGCCAACTTGAAGAGTCCAGAGCATGTGCAAATGGTTGCAGCTTACAGAGTGGTGGCAGACAATGTTTCTCTCTAATGAGAAAGCAATCATATAATAGTTTACTTAGCTTTGCTAGTCTCTCCCCAGCCATTACATTGTTAATCAGAAGGTTGTTTTATTTTACCATAATTATTGTCCAATTTTATTGTAATTATTTCCAGTGTTTATAAAATGCGATTAATAATGATATGGAAAGGAGGCAGGGAAGTGCTGGGAAGGGAAGGGCGTGGTCCCTGGCTAGGGTTCCACATCTGAGCCTGTGCCCATGGACCTAGGTGAGGACAGGCACTCCTGCCTTTGTGCCCAAATGTTGCTTATCCCAAGACCATCCTGGCCCACCACACCCCCATCCTGTGCCTATAAAAACCCCGAGACCCTAGTGGGCACGCACACAAGCACCTGGACGTTGAGACGAACACACTGGCAAAAGAACACACAAGCGGCTGGACGTCGAGAGGACGCCAAGAGCACACCGACAGGCACCGGCAGGCCAGCTGGCCGTTGACCAGTGGAACTACATGGAGTTTGTCCTGGACGATTAGAGGGGAGCCCGGCCACTGAGTAGCCCGACTCCAGGGGAAAACTACGGTCCCACTCCATTTCCTTTCTGGTTCCCCCATCCGCTGAGAGCTACTTCCACTCAATAAAACCTTGCACTCATTCTCCAAGCCCCCGTGTGATCCGATTCTTCCGGTACACCAAGGCAAGAAACCCCCGGATACAGAAAGCCCTCTGTCCTTGTGATAAGGCAGGGGGCTGTAATAGAGCTGACTAACACAAGCGGCCTACGGATGGCAAAACTAAAAGAGCACATGGTAACACACACCCACTGGGGCTTCAGAAGCTGTAAGCATTCACCCCTAGATGCAGTCCTAAGGTTGAAGCCCCACAATCTGCCCTTCTGCATGCTCCCCGTAGAGGTTGGATTTAAACAGAACAAAGCAAATTAAAAGCAGAACGAGAGAAGAAAACATATCTTAAATGTTCATCATCATTAGAGTGAATTTTTGAGGTCGACCAGGAAGAAGAAAAATAATGTTTTTAACACTTTGTATAAGTCTTAGAGGTGTAGTAGTACTCTTTTGAGGATGGGCATGAGCACAGGCTTTATAAGACATATGCAGATTGTGGTGAGTGTTACAGTTGCTCACATATGAAACTCAACACAGATCATTTTTGTTTTAGGCTTTTTAGTGAGTTTGTCTATCTTCCTTTGAGCAGGATGTGAGGGAATGGTGTGAAAAAAAGACTATCTGCTCACCTAATATTCCTATTCATCATATTTTATCCCACATTTAACATCTAATCTTAAAATATGTATACATATTAGCATTTATACAGTTATATTCCTGCATATCTATTTCTTCCAACCAATTTACTTTCTGAAAAGTATTGAATTACCTTTTACTGGGTCAGCCTAAAAACATCACAGAATACAATAAATCCTTTTAATCTGACTATGTCCACATTTGGCCTTAATCTCTTTGTTCATTTTTGGACACAAATATCCAGAACAAAATTTTATTTTCCTCAGAGCAGAGAAGCACTTTCTCTGGCTTTCATGTTTAACAACTCAACAACCTTTTGCTCAAGATTAAATACTTTATTGTGTCTACAGGCAGTTGCATATTTATTACTCCTGAGGCAGTGGTATTTGAAATAAATGGAATTGAATGACTCGGTGAAATAGTTTCTGAAATCCATGTATCTTGAGTTGCTCTATCTCAAAGGAAAAGAAAACATTTCATATCCCTACTATGAGAAGATAGTTCATATGAGAAACACCAGGGCTATAAAAGTGAAGTAAACATTTTATTGTGGCTCAGTTTTTGTTTGTTTTACTGTAAGTCTGAATTCTTAAAATCAGAGAAATTATTTTCCATATTTTTTTCTTTTCTTAAAACAGACAAGATCTGTTTTTGAATTTTTCCAAGTTCATGTATTAGAATTACACGACATTCTCCAAATATACTAGGCATTCATCATTTTAATATGACTCTCACTAAAATAAGTTTGAATATTAAATATATGCATGTTATATAATAAATATTTGTATCTAATATACATATAGCATGTATATAAAATATATGTAGATATGTATATATATACACATTTGAGGTATACATACAATTAATTTCAATCATCAATTCAACCATACTGGTCTCTACACTGTTTTGAGATGGACTAGTCACTGTTTTGAGATGGGCCACACCTAGTCCTTTTCTCTTAGTCTTCCCTCTCCCTAGAATTTTTTTTTACCAAAATATATCTGCATGATTTATTCTCTCCCTCTGAGAATCTCTACTAAAAATTCCATCATCAGAAAGCTCACCTATGACTCATATACTCTATTGTCATTGCCTTCCTTCATTATGTTTTTATAGCCTTATTACCGCTTACATTGTCTTCTCTCAGTAGAAGTTTAGCTCCATGAGAGAAGGGATCATACACATGCACACATGTGCGTGCACACACACACACACACACAAACACACATAAAATCTCTGCAGGCTTACAACAATATGTGTAACAAAGCAAGTGGTTTGATTGGATGGTCAAATAAATCTTATTTGTTTCATACTGAATGTCAATACAACACCTTTAAATTATTTAATTTTATATTGTACAAAATTCATGCTTTTAAAAAGCTACCAAAGGATAATAATTAGAAAGAAATTTAAAATTATTCAGTGTAAATAATTGTCTTTAAAACTACCTTTTTATGAGATTTTAAAGTATTGAATCATTATCATACTTACATTGTAATAGTGCATTCATCAGATAGCAAACTTTGATCACAGCACTACATATCAACATAGTGTGCTAATATTACATATGATATTGAGTTTATAAACAAGGTAAATAAAATTGTGATTTAATAAAAATATTAGAAAATGTGTGATACATTTAAGTGAATAGAATAGATGAACAAAATAAATGTTTTATTGCTGGAAAGGGTGAATTGCCATTTAATTTTGCCAATATAAAAATTTAATTTCTTAACAATAGAGTTAATTTAGTTACTATTTTGTCTCATTAGTTAGTTAAAATCTTAAAGTATGTGGATGTCTAGGATAATTCTTGACTATGCTTGACTTCTTGGTTCTTTTTCTTTTAATTTCTGTGGGTATATAATAGGTGTCCTTTTATCCATCAGTAATATCTACCAACCACTTGCATATCTGTCTTTTCCTGCTATTTTTAAAAACATGACAATTTCTGATTCTTATCAACTATCAATTCTTCAAGTAATTTAAAAATGTTTAAATTTTTCATCCATGAGGGAAATTTCTAATATTATACTTCCAAAGGAAAAAGATTTTTATAACAGTAATTTGAATATATGTTTTTTGTACTTGTCTTTTTGAGTGTATGACTCTTTGCAACAAATATAAAGTTTATTTAAATATATTGATTTTATATAACAAACTAGGGCATAGAGAAATGTTTCTAAACTTTTTATTCTTTCTGCTAGAGTCTAACATGAACTTACAGAAAAAAATACAGTAAATGAAAATGGACATTTACCAGAGCATTTTCTCATTGTGTAAATCCTCATTATTACCTTAAGAATAAAATAAAATGTCTTACCTGGTCTATTAAGGTTCCTCTATTACTCATACCATAATTGTTTTTCAATTTCACCTGACTTCCAATCTATAGATATCTTTTTTATCTCAATCCATTAGGGCTTTGTTTTATTATTTTTTTAGTTTTCATCTTTTAAATCATAATGGACATTATGATGTGCTTTTCAGATCCTTTTTTACAAAAGAAGGATTTATTCCTCAAGCAACTATGAGTGCTGTGGGGGAAAAACAAAAAGCCTATAACTGTCATAGTTGTGGAGCTACCTACAATGAAGAAAGCCACATCATCCACAGTCACACCACCTCCCAGGGAAGTCCATATGTAATGACTGATCAACATGCAGGTACAAAGGCAAAGTTCCCAGCTTGAATCTACTCTGAAAGGTCATCCCAGATACTGAACTCATAGAGTTGGTGAAATGTACATGGAGACTGAAAGTTCATCCCAGATACTAAACTCATAGAGTTGGCTAAATGTCCATGGAGACTGCATCACAGCTCAGCTTCTCCTTTCTGATTTCTCTTCCTTCTATTTCTTTACACAAATATCAATCTCAAGAATGCTTCATAATAAACCCTCTATAAATTGATATATATTTATATATATAAACCATATATATATATATGTTATATATATGTTAGAACTGGTCATGCAGGGAATTCAACATGCCAAATTTGTGCCAGGGGTCTGAGAACAGACATATAAGCATGATATTTTAGAGCTGTGTCACCCATTGTCAGCTGTCCACAAGTACATTATCACTAATGCTTGTGTAGCAAAGAAACCCCTGGCACAAGATGCGAGTGTAACTGTTAAGATTCTCACTATGAGTAAGCTGGAATGGAATACAAGTGAAGAAGAATGCATTAACTGATGCATATACCTGGTATTTGAGAAATATGAAGGAAATGTGGAGAAATGGTACTTTAAGGGCAGTGGAATTGTGTATCTATTGCTAACCTGTGTTTTACAAGAGAAGAAATCTGAGTGGTTAATTAGAAATTAAAAGTTAAGTATGAGACCCAGAGCAGTTCTTTAGTAGTATATAATGAAGATCTTGTCTCTTGTTCTAAGGGCATAGAGAACTGAGGTTTGGGTCCAATATTCAATTATAAGAATAGCTAAACCCCAAAGAAGTTTAAGTTTTAAAACTAGGCAGATCAGCTATATCAAGGTCGGAACCTGTTTGAGATGAAAACACCAATGTGCAAGTAAAAATCTTGAATTCTAAGATTCTTCTGAATTATCTGTGATTGCATAAGAGCTGTTTCTTTTATCCCCCCATTGCTAGAAAGCAATCGAGAAGCTTCTCCTCTACTAGACAATATCTGCCTCCTTTAGGATATTCTGCTGTTTTCTCTTCTTATTATTAAGTTTAGGTCATAGCATAATCCATTGAGCGCCAAGGCTGGGCCTGATAAGAGAAGAAAGTAGGCTCTACTTCGAAGAAGCTGCAGGAACCACTCATCAGGTGTGGTGTATACATGGGATTATATTCTGAAGGTGCTTGACCAAGGGAGAGAACACATGGTTAAATAAAGGACTCTTATAGACTTGAGATCGCTCTCTGGGTATACAGAATTAAACACCCTGGTATAACACCAGAGGATAGTATGAAGACATTTCCAGCAAGATTCCTAGAAACATGGGAAAATGATGGTCTACACTGAATGAAGAAATGCCAGAATTTGAATGACAGATATAAAAGGATTAAAAGGTTCAGAGACATAGTCGTGCTAGGATGGCTCTTTAATACAGCTGGTAAAAACATCCAGACACATGAGAACACAAAGGCTACACTATTCACCAAATCAGTAAGAACACTGCTGGGAAGAAGGGAACCAACTTCACTAAGATACTCATAGGTTGCTTCCCTTTCTAGGCCAGGACTTGAGGGAGAAGATATCTTTATAAAACTGCGTTCACCGATACTAACAGGAATGACAGAACACTGAAAGCACAGAGGCCAGGTGGAAGTGCTAAACTGTTAAAAGATGGGCACACAATTATAAATAGTGTCAAGATCAGATGTGGGCCAGGGAGGGCTGACTGACAAAGAGTTATAAAGATGATTAATAGAACCTGATATTTCCAGAGTCAAAATAGATTAGCAGTCTATGCAAGTACTACTTTATCTGTAATTCAAAATAAATAAAGGATGGATGAACAGGAGGATGAGCAATCTTACTAATAAGAAGTCATTGTTCCTTGCCCAATTTTCGGTCATGAGCAAGTTTTCAGACCCAGGCACCTTTGTTGAAGGGGAGGCCGGGTCCCCAAGAAGAAAAACTATCTGTATTGCCATGAGAAGTGGACATGGTAATTATTCCCTCAGGTCTTCTTCAAAGCACCGGTGGCTATATGACTGAGTATTTCTTTTCTTTTTTGTTTTTTTTTTGTGACGGAATCTCACTCTGTCCCCAGGTTGGAGCGCAGTGGCGTGATGTCAGTTCACTGCAACAACCTACACCTCCCGGTTCAAGTGATTCTCCTGCCTCAGCCTCCCGAGTAGTTGGGACTGTAGGTGTGTGCCACCACGCCCGGCTCATTTTTTGTATTTTTAGTAGAGACAGGATTTCACCATGTTGGCCAGGATGGTTTCGAACTCCAGACCTCATGATCCACCCGCCTTGGCCTCTCAAAGTGCTGGGATTACAGGTGTGAGCCACTGCGCCCAGCCATGACTGAGTATTTTTATGCTGGGAAAAACATTTCAAGGATTTTTGACCACAGTGTCTGACTTGACATTGATACCTTAAGATCTGTAGTGTCATTGTGGCCCCTTATCAGAGTGATGGCATATGGAGGAGGTCAGGTAACAAATACAGTCTTCAGATCCATGCTGATGATTTCTTCAGTCTCTGAATATATAATGAGAAATACATACTTGGTGGTTGGCACAAACCACATGTTGATTTCCTGGTCTGTGAGTTGAAAGATCCTGGATATGATGACAAAAGTCAGTGTCACACTTAAAGTCCTAAGGAATTCAGACGTGATGATCCTCATTGTATCTCTGTTTAATGTGCCAGTCCGGTTCTTGCAAAAACCAGAGGGATCTTAAGAGTATTAGAGTAGACTATTGTAAAATCAATGAAATCATAGCTTCAGTTGGAGTGGTTTTGCCACATACAGAATCTTTGCTAAAGCAGATCAAAATGGCTTCAAGTGCTTAATGGGGTCTTGTTGTGTTGCCCAGGCTGGCCTCAGGTGATCCTCGAACTACAGCTTCCCAAAGTACTGGGATTATAGGCATCTCAAGGTACTGGAATTATATAGTACTTGACATACCTGGCAACTTCAAGTATATATTAAGTGATCACTGGTTAGGTGAAATTATAATTTTTAGAAACAGTTCACACTTAGTTGGACTGGACAACAGTGCCTAGTAATAGTCTTTTCCTAGGACTATGTTAACTCTTCTACTCTCTGTTTTAATATATTTTGAGGGGACGTGACCCTGTTGGACATCTCAAAGAACATCTCATTGTTCCATTATCTTTATGATGTCATGTGATTGGACTGGATGAACAAGTAATGCTGTGTGTATTGGAGTCCTTGGGAAGAATATGTGCTCCAGAAAGAGAGTGATAAACCCTATGCAAATTTAAAGATCTGCTATATAGTAAAATGTTTAATTGTGTTCAGAGTTTTGAGGCATGTTTGGGATCCATTCCAAAATAAATAATTTGTTATTGTACTTGGTACTTCCGATCACAAAGAAGAAAGTACAATGTCTGGCAGGCTTCTTTGTGTTCTGGTCAACATATTCCACACCTGGAAATACTATTCTGAGCTATATACTAGGTGAGGCAAGTGTATATCCATACTGTGCTACAAGCAGCATTTCCTATTATGCCACATGGCTCAGCAGACCCTATGATATTACAAGCATTAATGATGAGGAAAGATCCTGTGTGAAATTTCTCACAAGCTCAATAGAAATATATAAATCAGGCTCCTAGATTTCTGGAGCAAGGCTATGACATCTACAGTGCGATATTACACACCTTATAAAAACAAGATCCTGATGTTTTTCTAGGTGCTGAGAAATGACTACTAATAAAATATAAAGTTACTATGCAGTCAAAATGGCTTACCATGAGCTGGATTCTTTTATAAGGATGGTTCAGGACCAACAGCAATTATCTTGCAAACTAGAATTTCTACACACAGAACCAAGCATAAACAGAGTGTTGTAAATTTGTGCAATATAGTTGCTGCCTTGGCATCTATTTTTAGGCCTGATGTAAGTTGTTTGAAAACCGGTTATACCCCAATGTCTTTGGCCTACTTGAAACTTTCCCTCCCTATGTTGTTGCTTGCAATATAGCTTGCTTGTTCCTCATTGCCTTTATCCAAAATCTAACACATCCTACAGTTGGTGAGCATCATAAAACCTAATGGTCAACAACAGAGTCATGTAAATAAGCTCTTAGATTTCCTATCAGCATGCTCCTATACTGACTCCTAACCTCTCGGGGATCTGCAGGTAATATATTTCTTCTCTTTCATGTACTTTGATTTCACCTCCTCTTGTGTCTCACCTGACTGACATGCCCAAACTTGACTCTTCCTTCTTTCTTCTGTCAGGGGAACAGTGGCTATCTAGGCTTATGGTAACTCTTAACAGAGAGACCTCAAGAACAAATTAGAAACAACTCATAACAATAGAAGTCACAACGCAGGGCCAGGAATTATAAGCAGACTACACAAATAGTTGACCTAGAACCTCATGTAACACACCATTGTTGTACCAGAGCCTGTTCTTCAGCTGAAAACCAACATCTGTACGAGAGATATCTTCTGACACAAGGCAATGGAGAAAAATGTCTGACCTTGCTTTACAGATAGGTCACCTGAATAGATGATAAACGTATTACAGCCCCACTCAGGAGTAGCCTTGAAAGACAGTGGTGAGAAAAAATTTTCCTAATGGTCAGAATTTTGGGTGATACATCAGGTCATTCACACTGTATGGAAAGAGAAGTGACCCAAGGTTATGTATTCATAGCCAGTGATGTATGATTTCTCTGGCTTGTCAGTGGCCAATCAAGAGAGATATTAAAGAAATTAGAAACTCTGGGGTAGAAAACTATAAATAAACCTATGAGAAAGGGCACCAAATAAGCAGATCTTTGGATTGCTTGATAACATACACCAGAGGCTCTTCATCAGAAAAGAGATATGGAAAGATCAGGTAGGCAGAATAAGCTGACTGGTTAACATCAGTCAGTCTTGGTGTCAGCAGTGTCAACAGTGCTGATACAATGGGTGCATGAACAGAGAATCCATGGTGTCAGGGACAAAAGTGATGTATATATCCAAGGGCATGGGTTTGCACGTATCAAAGCTGATAACTTTCTGCTGCTTTCACTTGTCCAAATGCCAGAAAAAGAAACTAACGGTGAGTCTCTACAACAGTATTAACTGTAATGGAAACCAATGGTCCATATGGTGGCAAGTTGACTATATTAAACCCCTACAACTATGGAAGGGGAAAATTATTTTGAAAGTAATAAATACATATTCTGTACCAGGATTTGCCTCTTGCCAGCAGGTCTTTTGTCAGACTTACTATTGGGGCTTACAGAGTGTTTGATCTTTTGGCATGGATACCACATAATGTCACGTGAACAAAGGATCCATTTTATAGCAAAGAAGATGTGGAGATAGGCCCATCATGATGTGACCCATTGGTTTTATGGCATTCTATTCCACCCAGAATCTGCTGGCTTGATAGAAAGCCAAGAGACATAGCACCAATAGACATTGTCACCAAGAGACATAGCAAGAGTTACATTGAAATATAAGCTACAGCTATTACTGTTGTGCTTTGGGTTTCACATGCCAAGGAAATAAGAAAGAAGACATGTTATTACTATTGTGGAAGAGAGAAATGATGCCTATCATTAGGAGGAATTAAGACATCTATTACCCAATAGCATCATGGACAGGTAAGCTTGGCACAGAAGTAATCTCCTTGCAGATCTCTTGGTACTCTCTTACCTTATTTTGATAACAAATGAGCAAATGCAGCAGCCACAGCTTGAGATATATGTAATGAAAAGAAGCTCTGAACCCCCAGAGATGAGGGCCTATGATATATCAACAGTAAGCTACCAAGACCAAAAAAGCACTCCTTTAGGGTATGAGGAATCTAGCATAGATTGTAGAGGATAGTGATAAGGGGCGTTGCATAGCTGAAACCCGTTAAATGACAGAAGAGTCGTTCATCCCACTAACCTAAATTTCTCCCAGAAGAAAAGTCCCACCACAATCCTGGAGGAACTACTCTCATATTTGGTGACCTTTTATACAAGTCAAGTAGATCAGAGCTGCTGAAGGAGTAGAGTGTGATGGATAATTTGATGAGACATCTAGAATGCCTTTTGGGAATGAAGGACCATAAATGCTGCCTGCAGAAAGCTCTAAATTTTCAGCCCCAAGAATTGCGTGGACCAAAGATAACCTCTTTGCTCAGATCACACTTCCTCCCTGGGGCTGCCACATCGAATTACTAATTGACATAAGAGTAGCAAGGTCCAGCCTTTTTTTACCCAATTTGGGAAAATTTCAAAGACTCACCTTAGCTTCAGAATTCCCCATAGGGTTGGTTATAGCTTTCTTTCAGGCTGTAACACTGTTCAACTTCTTCCTCTGCACAATTCTACTTTTTCTTCTTGTTTGCAGGTGCTGATCCCAGGAGAAAGCCCTAATAAAATCTCTGCACACTTATTTATCTGAAAGATAGATGCTTTTCAGATAACACAATTTACACTTGCCACAAAATCCACACAGTCTATCCATGGCCAATACAATTTTTCACCAAACACAAATTAAGACATGCAAAAATATGGCTTTCTTCATTTCCTTTTCTTTTTTTGGAGTCGGAGTCTCGCTCTGTTGCCCAGGCTAGAGTGCGGTGGCGCGATCTCGGCTCACTGCAAGCTCCGCCTCCCGGGTTCACGCCATTCTGTCTCAGCTTCCCGAGTAGCTGGGACTACAGGCACCCGCCACCATGCCCGGCTAATTTTTTGTATTTTTAGTAGAGACGGGGTTTCACCGTGTTAGCCAGGATGATCTCGATCTCCGCCCGCCTCGGCTTCCCAAAGTGCTGGGATTAGAGGCGTGAGCCACCTCGCCCTGCCTCTTTATTTTCTTATAACTAACCTTAGTGCATTTTGGTTGGAAAAGAGAATCAAGCTAAATGTCAAAGCAGAAAACTTAATTTAGTCATTTCCATTAAAATTTATTCATATCTTTATTTCTTATTCATTACGAGTCAAATTCTAAATTTCTTTCTTCCTCCTCTTTATATGTTAAGTTGATTCTAGCTTCTAAGATTAATATGAGTTTTGAGGGTTCTTGAACTCTCCTACACAAATATCTGCTAATATATCCAATTATCCATTGTGACTTTGGGGCTTTATCGTACCTACTTTTAGCTGTTGATATTCCTCCCCCGGGGAGGTGTTGGGAGTAGGGTGCATCACTGAATCTATTATGCCTTTTTCTGACCTCCTGCTCATATGGTCCACTTTAATATCTGAGGCTGCAATCACTGGGTCATAATCAGGAGATCCCTTCAGGCTGCCAGTTTTCTCCTCCAGCAATCTTGCTTGTCCTTTTCAGGCGCATGAAATATTTCTCCTGGACCTCTTGTCCTTTACAGGCCCTGGGGGGCTCAGGCTGTCATCACGCCCTTTCTGGTCCTGATTTCAGATGCATTTCTCTCTATTCTCTTGCCTTTATCCAGTTAGAGGACCTAGTGTCCCTTCAGTAACAGCCACACTCCCAGATTTCCAGTTCCAGAAGGCAGCATTAGGGGTGGATACCCATGGATTCTTATCTTCCTCCACAATTGTAGCTAAAATGTGGAAGGCACAGGGTCTGTCATAATGATATCAAATTGTGTGTTTATTGTCCACAGTACACAAAAGTTTTACCATCTGGAATGTGAATATTACTTCATACTGTCAAGCATTCTTGCCAAATCTATTGTTTATGGCAATAAACATCACTTTAACATTCAAAACCAGATATATTTTTTTTGGTCACAAATTGTTGGTTCTGTGTAGAGCTTCAAAAAGTTCTCTGTAGAAGCCTCAAAGTCCAGGTTGTTGGCATAAACCTTCCTCTGAAGGTTGTAGTTTGTACTGGATCTCTCCTTTTGCCCCTCAAAACATAAGCAGGGCAGGGCATACCAATGAGTTTGTCAGGTAGATCATCTCTCCACTTTACCCACCCTGCTCTGTTCAGAAAGATGTTTTCTATGTATTACATTTACTGGTCCCCATGCCCTCTGGTTTCCTGTTGAGCTCCCCACATAAGAGCTGCAGCAGCATGGCAGGAGGAAGGAGCAGACGGGAAAGTGAGCTCAGCACGTAGTTCCCCTAGCTCTCTTCCTGCAAGGTTATCTGGAGCTAGCTGTGATCATAGTCACTGCTTCTCTCAAGGCTGCAAACGTCCCCCAGTTCTTTTCTTCCAACTTCTAGCAACTGCATTCCTTCTTAGTGCTTTTGACCTGGTGTACTGCTTGGCTGCAACTAAACCTCAGGTTACGACATTACCCCTTGGGATTCCTTTGTAAATGATTAGTTCTTAAAATAAACTTACTCTATTATTATTCATATTTATTCATATTATTTGATATTATTCATATTTTTCCTATTATACATGAAAATGATATACTCTTATATCCTAGATAGGCAGACACACATACGGATGATAACTATGATATTTCACACCATGTTTTCAGTTGTGAAAAAACAAATTAAAACCTCTAATTTTTCCTTTACTCCATTCAGGATTTACTTGCTCCTTATTCTTTCTCAGGATGGACTCAACATTCTGGGGCCTTTGCATAATCTTATGGTGAAGCATCTGGTCTGTGATTATTCTCTAGAAAGAGTCCTTCTCAACGAGGACATCTGTGGCACCAGCATGAGCTTGCATTTCTTGCATAGAGCACTGGATTACCTGGATCCTACAATTGCATCCAGACATTGATCCACATATGATGTATCTTTACAAATTATTTCAAGGCAGCAGTTTTATCTTTTCTCCTCTGGGCCTCTTATGCAAAATAGAGGGACTTCTCTTATTTCCTTCTATACTTACTGGGGCCTTGTTCTATACTTACTGGGGCCTTGGGACACTGACTCATCGGAGGTTCTCTCAGACCAAGCCCTTTTCTCTCTCACCTTCTTCCAAAAACCAAGCATACCTCATGCATATCCTTATTTGCTTCTCTCTGAAGCTCTCAAGCCTATCTGGGTTTCTGTCTGTCTTCCTGAGACTCGTCACAGGGGGGTGACTCTCTTCATTTTCCTAAACTGCCAAAGTTGCCTGTAATTAATTGATACTGGGAAATGTTCTGTTTCTCTATGAAAAATGGTAAGAAAGTAACTGTGCATTTGCCTTAAAATTTTCCTTATTCTTAAAAATGACTGTATCCCATTCTGATCTTAAATTTTAAAGCAGTCATCCTTGGGATCTTGCTCATTGAAATCCTGGGGCAGGAGAAACCAACAACAGAACTTCCTTTCTAAGGCCTTCCTTTCTTCATTCACTTCTAAACATATCTCTTAGACCCTTCCCCCGCTGAGGAAGACTTTATATGAATTATATTATTTTGGACACTTTTGTTTCCTCTTGACTTATTGTGCCAGTCTAGTGGTAGAGCACCAATACCTTGGGAATGTTTTTCCTATCAGTTTGCAAAAAGAAGTTCTAATAATTTTTTCAAGATGCAAATTTGATGATGTCATTTCTCCTGCTTAAAATACTCCAATGACCTCTCTATGCTCTGAAGAAACAAAATACATGTGAACTATAGATTCATTTTACATATGTAAGTCTTTCATGTGGTCTAGAAAATGTTGCATAGTCTGGCTCCTAAAGCATTCTCTTGTTTGCTGTACTCCAGCCACACTGGTTGAATTTTGGTTTCTTAGAAACATGCTCCCTCTACCAAAGGTCCTTGCACATGCCTTTCCCTCTATATCTCCCTTTTCACACTCTTCTCTTACTTTAATTCTCTCAGCTTAATAATCCTTCCCAGGGAATCTTTTGTTGACCTCCCAATTTAAGGCGGTTTCTTTATTGCAGCTTTGCATATGACTAATGTAGATTTGATCTTTGTCTTATTCTTAAAAATAAGTATAACATTTTCTCTTACAGTTATCTCAGTTTGAAGCTTAGAAAGAATCCAACTAAATTATTCCAAAATAAATATTTTTGCTGATATTTATCTTTACTACTAGATTTTAAACTCCATTAGAACAAAAACCATGTTGGACAATGGATACTAAGTTTCACCATACCCAGCCCCTAGCAGAGTGCCTGAAACATTGCAGCTTTCAACAAACAACATGACTAATGAATGACTATGTCAACCTCTGTTCACACTCTCCTCCTCTGCACTAAGCTTCAGTCTGAATTCACCCTTCATGTCCTTTAGATCACAAATAATTTTTTTCTTCCTTCGCGTATCATTTTTCTTTTTGCGTCTTTTGCCTAGTTCTAGCTCTTCAAGCCAGAGCTTACTCATTGCTTTTTCATGAGGACGTTCTTGGACCAAAACAACCTGAAAAGGGCCTTCCGATATATCATTCACTTAACATATTGTACATTTCACTCATTGCAATTGTTTGTTTAATATCTCTTTTCCTTACTAAAGTGTTAAGAATTATAAGGCATAAAGCATAGCCATTTTAAATACCATCGAATGTCCAACACTAACACAAAACCTGGCACGTCATATATGGTTGTTCCTCGTATATTACTTAGAAAGTTGCAGAGGTTCCCAAATTAATATATTAGAGGAGGATTCTTGCAGTGAGCTGCATTTGAGCAGTGCCATCAAAGAAATTACATTGTTGACACGGTTCTAATATTATTTCTTACATTAATGCCAATTAAAAAGATAATTATCTTGCCTACAAACATCAAGAATGTTGCCCATAAATATCTGAGGAGCCATGCCTTACAAGCAAAGGGTTTAGCCATATATTACTTACATCGTATAGGCCAGTCATTTCTGTTACATGTTTATTGTGCAACTTTTATGCAACACTCAGTGCAGGGTACTCTGTAGAATAAAAGGAAATCAGAGGCATATTCACTGACTTCAAAGTGCTTATGGTTATACCGATGCAACATTGTAAGCTTTCGTTATACTATTAAGGATAAAAATGTACAATGTAAAAACAAAGATTAAATGGTGTGGTTCTAAAATGTAGGAGTTTAAAGAGCACAGCGATCACTAGAGGTCAGAAGAGACAAAACAAATCAAATGCTTCAAAGGAACTATAACTTGAGCTTGTTCCTGAAAACTAAAAAATAATTGATAGAAAGAAGGAGGAGGTTATTATGTCTGACTGATATCTACATAATTATTAAAGGCAATCATTATGTAAAGTCAATTTGCAAAGCCTCTGGTTTCAAAAAGAAAAAAACATCATCTTTGCCATCTACAGTCATAGATATACATAATCATTCCCAGGGATGTAACTTCACCTCTGCAGATCCCTTACTGCCCTGCTTACCATTAGCATTTCAGGTATTGCTTTTAAAAAAAAATTAGAATTATATGAGAAAAATAAACTTCATTATGATTGATTGAATCCTATTTGTGTCTCTGATAGCCAGAACAGAGTACGTTATTTATTGATCTCTTACCCACATTCTTCTACTTTACTATTACTAAATAAATTTTGATTTACAAAGAATGACCCATAGAGTCAAATGTCATCTCATACTCAATAGAGTGCTAATTCCTGTTACTAAAATGGTATCTTTCTAAGAAATGTAATGCATATGTTGCTTATTATAGGATTTCAATAAAATATTGATGTACTAATACTTTATCCACTTACAGGATATGAGGTCAAGGGTTCAAGAAGCAGGGTTGTCTATTCATAGCTTTATCATAGAATACTGAAAATACAGCGACTCTGGATGGAAGAAAGAAGAATGCCCTGCTGTCTCACATTCAGTGAATTTTGTTCTAACAAGATCTGTACCATATCACAGTTCTAGACTGGCTTCTGTGAAGTGGAAGTTAAAAGAAAACTTTTGTAACATTAAATGGGTCATACTGAAATATTTTAATGTGGTGATCTTTTTATGTATATTGTATTATTTATTTATTCAGTACTTTATATTTTCAGAAGTATAGCACAGAGCCCAAAATTGAACTGTAGTTGGTAATTGCCAATTAACTGATTTAGCCTATGTTAGGTGAGAAAAATCTTTAATTAGGGTTAGATAGAAACCCTTCACCCAAATATCTATGCATAATATTGACTGAAAGTTGTTAAGTCTTTATGAAAACTAAAAAATAATTTCTCAAAAATGACTGACTTCATTAATTAAAACGAGAAACACATGAATTTCTAAATATATATCTATTTTTTAATGAAAAAGTCATGCAGTAGGTTCTGATGCCATGATCCAAATTTTCTCCTAATGTTTTAGTTCAGTAATTTTTATAATTTATTTTTCAAATTTGTCCTTAATGCTTCTTGTTTAAGATTTTAGAAATCTCTTCATGAAAACTTAGGTAAAGTTCTTTTGCTTGGTCATCTGGTCTGGTTGTCTGCCTCAGGGGACTTAGTCTGCTTATGCACAGGGTCAAAGCACAGTCTTTAAAACACCACATCTTAATCAATTGTCTTCTACAGATAGTTTTGCTTCCCTCC